>NC_000003.12:164917695-165069210 GCF_000001405.40 Homo sapiens
AATCAAAATCTTATAAAGAGAATAGTTTTGAGTACAACAATTTTATTTATGTGTCATAAAATACAGCTCTCCCAAAAGGAAAAAAAAAACATGAATAAATTAACTCCAAAATTATCCAGTTTTGGTATTACCAATAATTTTTATTTTCTCCCATATACTAGCTCTACAGTTTTTAAGTAATATGTGCTTTAAGAAATGTAACTTTTTAAATATTTGGCTCTTGGCATATCTGTTATTTCCTTCTATATATATAAAGTGTCACAAGCCTTTATGTATTTGAAAAACATTTCTTGAATCTCTATTTTGTGGCAAACATTGCACTAATTATGAAAGTTGTTGAGCCAGAGTATTAGAAATTATATTTGGTCACGAATCATAAAATGGAAATTTTAGCCCATAAATTAACATTGTTAACTACTCTTTATTATATTGGTTTTAGTACCTTTGTGTGAAAACTGTGATTTTAACTCAATGTATTATGTTCATTACATTATTTCAATTCTTATAACAATCCTGTAAGAAATTTATGACCTCTATTTTGAAATAAGAAACTTGGGAAAACAACTTCCCTGAACTTTTTTTTTTTTTTTTTTTCACCTAGTAATAATGAAAGTAGCTACTTCCAGGGTAGTCATGGAAATCATGTCCAGTCATGGGCAAGAGTGGCCCATACAAACCTCAGGTGATATTATTATGATTAGTGACATTGAATAGACATTTTAAGCGCAATAATCCTTTGACAGTTCTACTTCACTTCACCACTTGGATGGCTAATAGACAATTCAGAGGTAATATATACAAAAACAAATTGTAGAGTTCTGTTCTAATCTTGTCACTTAAATAAATATGCTCCTTTCCAAGTCTTCCCACAACTCAGTGGTAGACATTATTACAGTTTCTCAGGCCAAAAAAGAGAAATAAAGTATTTTTAAAAAAGAAACACACATGACAAAACAGAAAACAAAAATCTCCTGGAAACTTTGATCTTATAATCCACATCTATCTATCAGCAAATTCTTCCTTCCTTCTATACGTTCTTACATATATACAGATTTTAACCTCTAATGTTACCACCTTATTTTATCAGCTTTGATTATTGCAGTAGCTGCCTATCTATTCTTCTGCTTGAACCCTTACTTTATTTAAATATTTTCTTACATAGATGTCAGATGTCACTTATCTGCCCTTGAACAAGTGCCTAGCCACTAAAGTCAGAGTAAAGCCAAAGCCTTTAAAATAGTTTCCACTGACCAGTAGAAGTTACACAACCTCTTTTTCTTTGTTACCTCATCTGTCAACCTCTGTTTTCATTAACTGCGCAAGCAAACATCTCCCCAAATCTCATCTTTGTTCTTGAACATTTGGTCTAATTACTCTCTCACCCAGAAACCCAATTGTCTCATTTTCTGCAAGTCACTGTGCAATGTCATCTTACGAGAGAAACTTCCCCTGCCACTACTTGCCACAGCAGGCATGTGATTATAGAACAGGTCATTTCTAGGTAACTGGGTCACTTAACTTAAAATCACTACCTGAAAATGACCTGTGTGTTGTTTTATATCACAATTTCCAATAGGCAAGTCTAGAAGAAAGATTTGGCAGAGTGATTTGGATGAGAAGCTACTCTTTAAATATAAGTAGTCTCTGGGGATTTCCATGACATGAATTCTTATAAATGAGAACAACAATTTTAAAAAAATTGCAGAAGTAGTGGCTAAGCTCAAAATAAGTAAAATTAGAGAATTCAAAAGTAACATATTATCAAAAAAGTAAATCATGTCAACTAGTTTGTAAACTTGCAAAATCTTTAGAAAGTGTTTTAGAGTTAGAAAATGTCATATTCAAATGCTATTATAACTATAAATAAATAATTTTATTCTTACTATGTTGTTATATCTGCTTCTTTGTTTTCACTGACAATCACAATTTAGACAGTCTTTTTTATTAGTGATAAACTTGCTCTACTTACTCACCATTGTACAGGGAGCATTCATACTATTAAAAGACAGACACGATTAAAAAAAGGAACAGTTTCATCTCTAATAAGTTATATTTTTCAGACATAATTATGTACTGTTAATAACTATTTTTACCTCTTCTCAATCTTCCATTTTCACTTTGTCTTTATGTTACTTGTTTCTCTAGGAGCATTTATCAAGAGATTTAAGTGACAAAACCCTTTCATAGAGAATAATGTGGACAAACTTTCATACTTTACATAAAAGTGCTTGGTAAGGAAGTAATAAAATATTTCATTTTTCAAAAAAACATTAAGTCTATCAGAAAAAGGAATAGCTTGTATCTTTTCTACATTTGATTTCTGAAGGATGAAAATAAAGGTCAAGTCCATATTTGAAACTAGAGAAATGTCAAATTAAAATTGTGTATAAAACTTCTATGTTACTTTCTTTGATCATTACTAATGCTGAATTGATGGTCAGTCACTTTAAGAGAACACTGGGCGTCAGAAGCTGCTGGTCCTCTGAAGTTTTTGATATGTTGATGAGAGACTTTGTATCTTTTGTTATTGGGATCTATAATATAAAAAAATATATAATTATTTTTGATAGACATTTTCTATTTTCCAATGGACACGTTTATTAATTAAATATAAATATATGTCACATAATTAATGTACACAATTAGTAAACTGAAGTAATCTTCTGGAAGAAAATACATTATTAAAAGTATAAGAAACATTGTAAAATTTAAGGTTTTTAGTCTGACAGAGACAATGAGTATTTTCTTATTCTCAGGTCAATCTGAAGAGTATACAAAAATCTAAATTACTTTTTTGATTAATATAATCCTAAGTCTATACGTTCATATAACCAGAACATTTGAAATAATTTAAATAAATTTTAGTATAAAATAAACGTAGCTTGAAATTATGTTGTTTTTCATGGTCTTACAAATTATAATTCTTTCTCTTCAGAATGCATTTACTTTTAAAATTGATGGAGTTTTGTGGTTACTGACAACATTCCCATTGTCTAACATGGGTGAATAAGTATTTACCAATATTTAAATATAATAACTCAAACTGCTTTTCAATCTCACTCATCATAATTATTTTCAATTTAATTTCTTTTCTGCAAACACTAGACTTAAAACCAGTTTCTAGGCATCATATAGTTTGACATTTTGGAAGCATTCTTTGTTAATTTTCACTTGCAAAATGTAGAGGACAAAAAGATTCATATAATGGGTTGGTGTGTGTGCGTATATATATATATATATATATACGCACACACACATATACATATATATATTTAATAAGTTGTTATACATATCCCTGTTCCAAATAAAGTCAATCTCAGAATGCCAGGAGTCTTAATTTGTTAATGAACTTTTTTAGTAATTTTATACTAAATATTTAAAAATTTATGTTATTTCTATTTTTTATGCTCACTGTCTAGAAAGCATAAGGTGGATACCAATGGGGGTTAGTAGAAATATCTGGACCTAGAAAGACAAGTAAAATGTATAGAATTGATACAAAATTAATATATTGTGACATTTATGCAAATATAATTATACTCTATCTGCTAAATAATTGGTGATATATATTTGTGGTAAAAATAGCAGAAAACTAGGAATAAAATATAGATATTCATTGTTGCTAATTCTTGCTGCTAATTCTGTATAATGGATACATCATCTTCTGAAACTAATTTCTTAGCTTAAAATTAGCTTGACTTGACAAAATCAATGGCTCTCCGCGGTACTGGTAGCAAAACAGAGATATAGACAAATGGAACAGAATAGAGCCCCCGGAAATAATACCACACATCTACAACCAGTTGATCTTTGACAAACCCGACAAAAACAAGAAATGGGGAAAGGATTCCCTATTTAATAAATGGTGCTGAGAAAGCTGGCTAGCCATATGTAGAAAGCTGAAACTGGATCCCTTCCTTACACCCTATACAAAAATTAATTCAACATGGATTAAAGACTTAAAGGTTAGACCTAAAACCATAGAAACCCTAGAAGAAAACTTAGGCAATACCATTCAGGACATAGACATGGGCAAGGACTTCATGACTAAAACACCAAAAGCAATGGCAACAAAAGCCAAAATTCAGAAATGGGATCTAATTAAACTAAAGAGCTTCTGCACAGCAAAAGAAACTACCATCAGAGTGAACAGGCAACCTACAGAATGGGAGAAAATTTTTACAATCTACTCATCTGACAAAGGGCTAATATCCAGAATCTACAAAGAACTTCAACAAATTTACGAGAAAAAAATCAACCCCATCAAAAAGTGGGCAAAGGATATGAACAGACACTTCTCAAAAGAAGACATTTATGCAGCCAACAGACACATGAAAAAATGTTCATCATCACTGGCCATCAGAGAAATGCAAATCAAAACCACAGTGAGATACCATCTCACACCAGTTAGAATGGCAATCATTAAAAAGTCAGGAAACAACAGGTGCTAGAGAGGATCTGGAGAAATAGGAATGCTTTTACATTGTTGGTGGAACTAGTTTACAGTTCCACCATTGTGGAAGACAGTGTGGCGATTCCTCAAGGATCTATAAATAGAAATATCATTTGACCCAGCCATCCCATTACTGGGCATATACCTAAAGGATTATAAATCATGCTGCTATAAAGACACATGCACACGTATGTTTATTGCGGCACTATTCACAATAGCAAAGACTTGGAATCAACCCAAATGTCCATCAATGATAGACTGGATTAAGAAAATGTGGCACACATACACCGTGGAATACTATGCAGCCATAAAAAGGATGGGTTCATGTCCTTTGTAAGGACATGGATGAAGCTGGAAAACATCATTCTGAGCAAACTATCACAAGGACAAAAAACCAAACACCACATGTTCTCACTCATAGGCGGGAACTGAGGAATGAGAACACTTAGACACAAGGTGGGGAACATCACACACCAGGGCCTGTCATGGGGTTGGGGGAGGGGGGAGGGATAGCATTAGAAGATATACCTAATGTAAATGACGAGTTAACGGGTCCAGCACACCAACATGGCACAGGTATACATATGTAACAAACCTGCACCTTGTGCATATGTACCCTAGAACTTAAAGTATTAAAAAAAAAAAAAAGAATGGGGTCCATTTTCAATCTTCTGCCTATGTCTAGCAGTTATTCCAGCACCATTTATTGAATGGGAATTCCTTTCCCTATTGCTTGTCATTCTCAACTTTGTTGAAGGTCAGATGGTTCTATGTGTGTGGCTTTGTTTATGGGCTCTCTAGTCTGTTTCATTGGTCTAGGTGTCTGTTTTTGTACTGGTACCATGCTATTTTAGTTATTCTAGCCTTGTAATGCATTTGAAATCAGGTAGAGTGATGCCTTCAATTTTTTCTTTTTGCTTAGGATTATTTGGGCTCTTTGGTCTCTTTTCTTGATTCCAAATGCATGTTTAGATAGTTTTTTCTAATTCTAGGAAAAATGTCATTGGTGCTCTGATAGGAATAGCATTGATTTAATAAATTGCTTTGACCATTTTGGGCAGTATGACCATTTTAACAATATTGATTCTTCCTATCCATGAGCATGGAAAGTTTTCCCATTTGTTTGTGTTGTCTCTGATTTCTTTCCTCAGTGTTTTATAATTCTATTGTAAAGATCTTTCACCTCCCTTGTTAGCTGTATTCTTATATATTGTGTGTGTGTGTGTGTGTGTGTGTGGCTGCTGTGAATGAGATTGCATTCTTGATTCTTGCTCTCAACTTGGATATTGTTGGTATATAGAAATATTACTAATTTTTTACATTGATTTTGTGTCATGAATTTACTGAAATTGTTTATCTGATCTAGGAGCTTTTGGGTGGAGACTATGCATTTTTATAGATATAAAATCATGTCATCTGTGAGAGGAGATACTTTGACTTCCTCTCTTCTTATTGGATGCCTTTCATTTCTTTCTCTTGTCCAATTGCTCTGGCTAGGACTTCTGGGACTCAGTTGAGGAGGATTGTTGAGAGTGGACATCCTTGTCTTATTCTGCTTCTCAAGGAAAGTGCTGCCAGCTTTTACCCATTAAGTATGATGTTGGCTATGGCTTTGTTACAGATGTCACTTATCATTTTGAATCATCCTCTTCTTTTTTTTTTTTTTTTTTTTTGAGACGGAGTCTGGTTCTGTTGCCCAGGCTGGAGTGCAGTGGTGTGATCTCTTCTCACTGCAAGCTCCGCCACCTGGATTCACACCATTCTTCTGCCTCAGCCTCCTGAGTAGCTGGGACTACAGGCGTCTGCCACCACGCTGGCTAATTTTTTGTATTTTTAGTAGAGACAGGGTTTCACCGTGTTAGCCAGGATGGTCTTGATCTCCTGACCTCATGATCTGCCCACCTCGGCCACCCAAAGTGCTGGGATTACAGGCATGAGCCACCCCGCCCGGCCAGAACCATGCTCTTTTAATGCCCAGTTTGTTGAGGGTTTTTTTTTTTTTTTCCATGAAGGTATATTGAATTTTATTGAGAGCCTTTTCTGCATCTATTAAGATATTTCTGTGGTTTTGGTTTTGGTTCTGTTTATGTGATTAGCAAAATTTATTGATTTTCATATGTTGAACCAACTTTGCATCCCAGGTATAAAGCCTACTTGATTATTGTGGATTAGCCTTTAGATGTGCTGCTGGATTCAGATCACTTGTATTTTGTTGAGAATTTTTTCATCTATGGTCATCATAGTTATTGGCCTGAAGCTTTCGTTTTTGTTGTTGTGTCTGTACTAGATATTGGTATCAGAATGTTGCTTATCTCATAGATTGAGTTAGGTAGGAGTCCCTCCTCCTTAATTTTTTGAAGTGTTTCCAATACAATTGATACTAGCTCTTCTTTGTAAGTCTAGCAAGTTTCAGCTGTGAATCCACTTGGACCAGGGCCTTTTCTGGTTGATAGGAATTTAATTAGTGGTTGAATTTTGGGACTCATTATTGGTCTATTCAGGCTGTTAATTTCTTCCTCTTTCACTGTTGGGAGATTATTTGTTTCTAGGAATTTATTCATTTCTTCTAGGTTTTCTAGTTTGTGTGCATAGAAGTGTTCATAATAATCTCTGAGGATTTTTGTATTTCTGTGGGTTGGGTGATAAGGTCTGCTTTATAATGCCTGACTTATTTATTTGGATCTTTTCTCTCTTTTTCTTTATTATTTAGCTAGTAGTCTATCAAATTTATTTTAAAGAAAACTAGCTTTTAGTTTTGTTGATTTATGTATGGTTGTTTTGCATCTCAATTTCATTCAGTTTGGCTCTGAGTTTGGTTATTTATATTCCTGTGTTACATTTGGGTTTTGTTTGGTCTTGTTTTTCTAGTTCCTCCATGTGTGATCTAAAGTTGTTAATGTGAAATTTTTCTAACTTTTTGCTGTAGGTGTTTGGCACTATAAACTTTCCTCTTAACACTGCTTTAGACAGAGATTCTGGTGTGTTACATTTTTGTTTTTATTTAATTTTATTTATTTATTTATTTATTTTGAGGCGGAGTTTTGCTCTTATTGCCCAGGCTAGCGTGCTATGGCACGATCTCGGCTCACCGCAACCTCCGCCTCCTGGGTTCAAGCGATTCTCCTGCCTCAGCCTCCCGAGTAGCTGGGACTACAGGCATTCACCACCAAGCCCAGCTAATTTTGTATTTTTATTAGAGACAAGGTTTCTCCATGTTGGTCAGGCTGGTCTCAAACTCCCGACCTCAGGTGATCCACCCGCTTCAGCTTCCCAAAGTGCTGGGATTACAGGTGTGAGCCACTGCACCCAGCCACATTTTTGTTTTTATCTAGTTTCAAAAAATTTCTTGATTTCTGCCATAATTTAAATGTTTACCCAAAAGTCATTTAGGATCAGGTTGTTTAATTTCCATGTAATTGTGTGGTTTTGAAAGATCTTCTTAAAATCAATTTCTATTTTTATAGCAATGTAGTCTGTGGGTGTGATTGGTATGATCTTGGCTTTTTTCAATTTGTTGAGAATTGTTTTATGGCCAATCATATGGTCAATTTTAGACTATGTGCAATGGGTGGATGAGAAGAACATATAATCTGTTGTTGGGTGAAGAGTTCTGTAGATGTCTGTTAGATCCTTTTGGTCACATGTCAAATTCGGGCCTCAAATATCTTTGTTAGTTTTCTGCCTCAATTATCTGTCTAGTAATGTCAGTGCAGTTTTTACGTCTCCCACTATGGTTTTGTAATTATTTAATTGTCTTCATAGGTCTCTAAGAACTTCTACTATGAATCTGGGTGCTCCAGTGTTGCATGCATATATATTTAGAGAGTTAAGTCTTCTTGTTGAATTGAACCCTTTATTATTATATAATGCCTTTTTTGACTTTTTTGACAGTTTTTTGTTTAACGCCTGCCATGTCTGAAATTAAAATAGCAACTCCTGCTTTTTTCTCTTTTCTGTTTGCTTAGTAGATTCTTCTCCATCCCTTTACTTTGAGCCTATGGGTGTCACTGAAGATGGGTCTCTTAAAGACAGCACACAGCTGAGTCTTGCTTCTTTATCCAATTTGCCACTCTGGGACTTTTAAGTGGGGCCCTTAGCCTGTTTGCATTCAAGGTTAATGTTGATATATGCAGATTTAATCCTGTCATTATGTTATCTTCTGGTTGTTATGCAGACTTTACTGCATGGCTGTTTTACACTGTCAATGGTCTGTATACTTCAATGTGTTTTAGTGGTGACCAGTAACAATATTCATTTCCATGACTAGCACTCCCTTAAGGACCTCTTTTAAGGCAAATCTGGTGGTAACAAATTCCCATGTCATTTTTTTGTCTGAAAAGAATCTTATTTTTCCTTCACTTATGAAGCTTAGTTTGGCTGGATGCAAAATTCTTCATTGGAATTTCCTTTCTTTAAAATTCCTCAATATAGGACTCTGGTTTGTAAAGTTACTGCTAAGAAGTCCACTCTTAGCCTTATGGTGTTCTGCCTTTTCTCCCTTGCTGCCATTAGCATTTTTTTTTCGTGTTGACTTTGGAGAATCTGAAGACTATGTGTTTTGAGGATGCTCAACTCTAGTATCTTACAGGCATTCTCTGCACTTCCTGATTTTGAATGTCAAGCCATCTAGTGAGGTTGGGGAAATTTTTGTTGGTAATGTCTTCCATATGTTTTCCAAGTTGCTTGTTCTCTCTATCTCTTTTTCAGGGACACTAATGAGTGGTAGGTTTTGTCTCTTTACATAACCCCATATTTCCTGGAGGTTTTGTTTATTGTTTTGTATTCTTTTTTATCATTGTTTTTGTCTGACTGAGTTAATTTGAAGAACTGGTCTTCGAGCTCTGAGATTCTTTCCTCAGCTTGGTCTATTCTGCTGTTAATACTTCTGATTGTATTAAACAATTCTAGTAAGGTTTTCAGTTCTATCAGTTTTGTTTGGTTATTTCATAAAAATGGCTATTTTACCTTTCTGCTCCTGAATTGTTTTATTGCATTTCTTAGATTCCTTGAATTGAATTTCAACTTTCTCCTGAACGTCAAGTATCTTCATTCCTACCAAGTTTCTGAATTTTATGTCTGTCGTGTCAACCATTTCAGCCTGGATAAGAACCATTTCTGGGGAACTAGGGTAGTCATTTGGAGGTTAGAAAACACTGGCATTTTGAGTTGCCACAGTTCTTATGCTGGTTCTTTATCATCTATATGGGCTGATGTTCTTTTAATGTTTGAAGTTGCTGTTCTTTGAATGTTTTTCCTTTTTTCTTTCTTTTGCTTTTATAGTCTTAAATGCCCTTTAGGGTTTGACTGTAGTATAAGGTGGATTCAGTTGACTAGCTTCATTTCTGGAAGATTTTATGGGGCCAAGGCTCAGCTCAACACTTCTGAGCTGCATGCTGTAAACCTGGGCAGTTGGCAGCAGGCTCATTCCTTTATGCTCTGGCTCCTTGAGGTTAAGCACCTGTTACACTGAAAGGGCTAAAGTGTTCCCAGTGCACTGGAAACAAAACTCTCATGGGAAGTGCCACCCAAAATGCTTGATTGTGGCAATGACAGTGGAGGCCATGTTCACACCTGCATCGCAGCATTGGAGGTAACATGGCAGTGTGCATGCCCATTGGTCATGGCAGGGCCCTGGCAGTGGTGGCAGTGCTTCAGGATGCACAAAGGCACTGGTGGTGGTGGGACAGCAGCATCCTTAACAGAGCAGAGTAGCAGTGTCCACACATGCAGGTGTGCCAATGGCAGTGGCAGCACACACATGCCAGGTGCACAATGTGCTGGGTGCACACAGATGCCAGCATCCATATGGTGGTGGGGAGGCAGCGTGTGCACCCACCTCTGTGCCAGCTGTGGCGGCGAGGCTGGGTATGCACACACTGGCGGGGATGAGGCACTGACCGGAGTGAGGTGGCAACATCTGTGGGTGCACTTGTGCCTGTGGTTGCAGGGCAGCAGAGTCCACACACACACTGGCAAATCTGGGGCAGTGAGGTTTGCCCATGTGTGTGCACCTGCAAAGTTGTGCAGTGGGTTGGGGGTGCTGTGTTTTGTAGGAAAATGCAGGTCAGTGTGTGCACATTGTCAAGGGACCATATGCTGGAACTCCTCAATGATCAAGTGCAGTCTTCCAGTCAAGGAGCAATGGCAGCAACTTTTGGGAAGCACTCAGATTGGGTATCTGGGGCTACACTGCAAGTGGCCTCAGACAGGCAGGGACTCTGGGAGAGGGTGGCAGACAGAGTGGTCCCTCAAATCATACTGGCCCCATCCCAGAGCCAAGACCACCCTGCTGTGTCCAAATCTAACAGTTAACAAAGGCCAAAGCTATCTACAGTAGCTTGCTGAGCCTTGGAGTATGGGCGTTTATAGATGTGCTCATTGCACCCTTTCCTGTACCACACCCTCTGGGGTCCACACAGACTGGAGTCTTTTTCCTGCAACCTCTCCAAAATAGTCTCCCCGTCAACTCAAATGTCTGTGGGGGTTAGGGGGTCTTCTGCAGCTAGGATTCTGGAGGTCCCTGGTGAGAGTTGGCCACTCCTTGCCTATTTAACTCACCCCTTTCCCAGGAGACACTGGAGGCCAAGAATGAGTCCTGGTGCTCAGCAGTCTCATACAGGGCTCCCAGCTTCCTCCCGCATTAGACCAGGATTTGAGTCCTCTCTTCACCCACTCTCAATGACTACCTTCTGAAGTTCTTCTCAAAGTGTGCCAGTCTTCGTGACAGTCGGATCACTCAGTGGGAGATGCTCTTCTCTTCCTTGGCTGTGTCTAGTTGGCCATCTTGGCTCCCCAGTTCTATTTCTATAAAGTTGCAATAAACAGCCCAAAAATGAAATAAAGAAAACAATTTCATTTACAATAGCAACAAAAATAACACTTATAAATATTTGTATCTTTATTATTGTTTTTAATAGATGCACAATAATTTTACAAATTTATGAGATACAGTGTGATATTTTGATACATATATACAATTTGTAAAAATCAAGTCAGGATAATTAGCATATCCATTACCTTAAACATTTCTCACTACTTTGTTTTGGGAACATTCAAAACCCTGTATTCTAGCTCTTTGAAAAAGTACAATAAATTATTGTTTACTAGAGTCACCTTACAGTTCTGTTGAACACTAGAACTTATTCACCTTATCTAGCCATACTTTTGTATTCATTAACCAGCCTCTCTCTATCCCCTTCCCC
Organism: Homo sapiens; assembly: GCF_000001405.40. Lineage (NCBI taxonomy): Eukaryota > Metazoa > Chordata > Mammalia > Primates > Hominidae > Homo > Homo sapiens. The sequence goes on from NC_000003.12 coordinate 164,929,351, forward strand.
ACTATCCTTTCCAGGCTCTAGTAACAACTTTTCTACTGCACTTCTATGATATTAACATTTTTAGTTCCCACATATGAGTGAGAACATGCAGTATTTAACTTCCTGTGCTTGGCTTATTTTATTTAATATAATGTCCTCCAAGCTCATCTATGTTGCCAAAAATGACACGATTTCATTCTTTTTCTTATAAATAAATTTAGCAAAAGTGTGAAATGTATACTCTTAAAATTATGAAACACTGTTTAAATAAATTAAAGAAGATCTAACTATCAGAAAAAATCCCATGTTAATGGATTAGAAGATTTAACATTGTTAAGATGGAAATACTCCCCAAACTAATCGCAAATTCAATGGAATTCTCATCAGGACCAAGCAGACTTCTCGTAAAAATTTATGAGCTGATTCTAAAATCCCTATTAAATTACAAAGACCCAAAATAGTCAAAGCAATCTTGAAAAGGAAGAGCAAAGATTGATGACTCATATTTCCTAACTTCAAAACATACAAGACAGTAATTAAGACAGCTTAGTAATGGTCCAAAATAAACATGTAGATCAACAGAATAAAAATGAGACTCCAGAAATAAACCCATATATTCATGAACAACTAGTTTTTAACAATAATGATGACTCTATCCAATGTGGGAAAAATAGATTTTTCTACAGATAGAACTTGGACAATTGGATAGCCCCAGGCAAAATAATGAATTTAGACCCATACCTCACACTGCATACAAAAATTAAAAGTCAAAATGAATCAAAACAGGAATGTAAAAGCTATAACTATAAATTCTTAAAAAAATTCAATAAGCATAAGTTTTGTGATCTTGGATTTCACAAATAAGTTTTAGATATGACACCAAAAATATGCAACAAGAAAAAAAATAAATTGGACACCATCAAAATTTTTTAAAAAATTGTATTTCAAAAGACAGCTTCTAGAAAGTAAAAGGATTATCCACAAAATAAGATATTTACAAATCATATATCTGATAAAGGACTTAAATTCAGAACATAAACTAAATCTTGCAACCTAATAAAAAGGCACCCAATTAAAAACTAACCAAAATATCTACATAAATATTTCTCTAAGGAAGATATACAAATGTCTAATAAGCATATAAAAACACATGTGACATCGTGCATCATCAGAAAAATGCAAATCAAAGCCACAATGAGATATCAAACACATCTAAGATGACTGGAATCAAAAAGTCAGATATTAAAAATATTGGCAAGGAAATAAGAACTTCATATACTATAGAATTTTGAAATGACACAGCTGCTTTGGAAAATAGTTTGGCAGTCCTCAAATACAATACAAAGTTACCATATGGCCCAGGAATTCCACTTCTAGATATACATTGTATCCATAAAGGTGAAAACATATGTCCATACAGAAATATGTACACAAATATTTTTACTAACTTTATTCATAATAGATAAAAGGTTGAAACAAGGCAAGTGCTCATCAATGTATGAATGTACAAACAAAGTAGCATACATATTCATTGGAATATTATTTGACCATTAAAAATAATGAAATACTGACTCATACTACAGTACTGATGATCCTTTAAAATATTATGCTAATGAAAAGAAACTAGTTACGAAATACCATTTATTATGTGATTCAATTAATATAAGACATCCAAAGTTAGGAAATCTATTGAGGCAGAAAGTACATCTGTGGTTGCTAAGGACAGGGGATGGAGAGTGGGGATGGGGCTTGGGAAGAGTTAACCAAAGGTATGGGGTTTCTTTTAGAAGTGATGAAATGTTCTAAAATCAAGTGCAGTGATTACTTCACACATCTGTGAGTACAGAAAAAAACACTAGATAGTACATTTTAAATAAGAGAGTTGTAAGAAATGTAAACTAGATCTCAATGAATGTTAAAAAATAAAACATGATATCAAAGAACTGGATATAATACTGCTTCATTTTTAATAAAGGAGATATACTTTTCAAGATGTCAGCTTTATACCAGTATGTCATAGTGATTAAATAAATAGGCTAGGTCAGAAACCTGGTTTTCTATTCTAGCTTTACCACCTCCTAAATGTATGACTTTGATAACATTGTTATTTCCTTGAACATTAGTTTCCTCATATCTACTGAGGAATAATAATAGTCCTCCGGTTATAGAGCTATCCAAAAAGAAAGTAAATAACATAAGTCATGCCAAATTCTCAGCAGAGTACCTAGCAAAAGCTACGTGCTAAATAAATTTAGCTATTTTTATAAAAAATGTGATGGAGAAGACTTCAATTCTTGAATTTTCAGAGCATCTATTATAAAATAATTCTTTTTGTATAAACTGTATGTTTATAATAAAATAAGAACCTCAGTTTATTTTCAGAATCCCTATAGCTAAATCTCCCATGTTTATTATTTTAACCAAAATGTAATTTTTAACAACTATTTCCTTAAATTTTACATTATTCTGAGATCTCTTTTTTCCTTCTTCACTTAGTCATAAATAACTCAACCTCTTGTCTAAGTTTCACCTATCTGCTAGGACAGACCCAGAATCTAACAGACCTCATTGCCTAAGACTTGAGGAAGTCGGGTTAGCAGTGACAAGCGTTGGGTCTAGTCAGGTAATGAAGAAGCTACTTGAAGAATGAGATTACAGAAAATCTGAGCCAGATGACTAATGCCTGAATAAAATAGCAAGTGAAGACAAAAGGCAATGAAAGAATGTAGTCTACACTAGTTAGAAATCTGAGTGTTGGCCGGGCATGGTGGCTCACGCCTGCAATCCCAACACTTTGGGAGGCCGAGGCGGGTGGATCACGAGGTCAGGAGTTCAAGACCAGCCTGGCCAAGATGGTGAAACCCTGTCTCTACTAAAAATACAAAACATATCTGGGCCTGGTGACGGGCACATGTAATCCCAGCTACTCGGGAAGCTGAGGCAGAGAATTGCTTGTACCCAGGAGGCAGAGGGTTGCAGTGAGCTGAGGTCACACCACTGCACTCCAGCCTCGGCGACAGAGCGAGACTCCATCAAAAAATAAATAAAAAGAAAGAAAGACAGAGAGAGAGAGAGAGAGAGAGAGAGAGAGAGATCAGAGTGTTACACTCAGGAGAATAATACTTTCAGAACCCAAAGAGATTCTCTACTAACCCAGTGGCCCAGGGTATTCCCTTAGGCCCCACCACCCTATCACAATACATAAAGGATAATTGCATCTAAAAACTGGAACTTATATAAGCTATAAAAATGTCATTCCCATTTCCATTTTCTTTTTTTTTTTTAGTTCTGTGATTATCCCACAAAAAAATGGTGAATGATCCTCTCTGAAATTTTTTCTGCTCCATATGTTTTATTTTAGCCCATATATTTGAAATAGAAAAAAAAGTAATGACCACATGGATAGCTTAGCCGATTTACTGCCTAAACACATAAAATCCATTGACTATTTCTTCAGTATATCTATACAGAAGCGTCTCGGTTTCTAGGAGACAATTTACTGTGATAAACATAACAACTCCACATGGCAAGCCATCTCTGCAGAATCATGGTATGATATAAAGTCATCAAAGAGAGACTTGGGATAAGGTCTCTATTCTATGTAAAGAAGACTGGGGCTACTTAAAATTTCACTTGAGTACTATAATAAGCATCAAAACGTCATTTTCAGTCTGAAAAATACAAAAATGATAACCACAAATATATATTTAAGCTAAACACAGTCAAAACTGGTAATATTTAAATTAGGATACAGTAGCAAGGAGAATATAAAGGCAGTAAATAGGAGAAAAGATTGAAGAAAGCTTATTAAAAAGTCCTGTATGCTATGGTGGTCTTCAAGTTCAATTCTGTGCTTTCTGACAACCATATACATTTGCACAATCAACAATTTCCACAATATTTGTGTCCCAGGAGTACCATAGCTAGTCCTGGAACAAAAACTAAAGACTTTTCTTTCTTTTTATTTTTGCCCCTGTGAACTTTGAAAAAGAGGACATTGTGAAAAATGTTTTCAAACCTGAGAATTAAAACAAGGAGGTTCATAGGACTATTTCATAGCTCTGTTTGGGTTGATGATATCATATCAAAGTACAGTTTAGAAAAAATCTATTCTGCTGGTAGCCATAATGTAGTCCCAGGTATGGAGGTTTTCCTGGAATGGCCTAATTCAACTTTAGAGTACAGATGAATAAAGAGATTGCACATGTTTCTAGCATGTTCCTAAGTAGTATTTTCCTCATCTGAAGACAGATATGTTGTTGATCCTGTACTGCAAGTTGTGTTTTCAAGCCTTAAGTAAGCTAGACTTAGGAATGACAATTTTTTATGAAAACTGAGGTACCTAAATCTAAGCCTATCCTACATTAACTCAAAACTGAGTGCAGTCTTTCATGGTGCAGAGCTAAGATTTTTTCTCAAAGCAATATTGGATCCTTTTCAGTTTATGGAAAAGATGAAAGGCTGAAGTCCTAAAGTTTTGTGCCTTAACTTATGTTCATAGTAATGACTACTGGAATTTAAGAAAAAAAAAATTTACCAAATTATTCTCTTGCCCATTAAGAGAGATGTTAACAAACATTTACAGAAAATAAGCAGTTGCTATGAAACTATACCCAGAGTTAAGTAAATACTGAAGTTTTAATTGTAATTAATTTAAATGTGGAGGAATATCTTCTGAGAAGTTTATCTGTGTATTTGAAATTGTTGATTTGAAAAGAATCTTTTGGGCAGTGGAAATAGCAATGACTTGGTTATTTATTAGTCTTACGTAAAATGTTAAGGTAAATTACATCGTACTACACTAGGGTTTCTCAACTTTAGCACTAAAATGTTGCTTGAAAGTCAAATTTTACTCAGTTGAGAACTACTATACCAATTAGTGTGAGTTTATTTGCAGTAAAATGTTTCATTTAAGTATAACTTTCTTTATGATATTCATTCAATTTAATTTCTCTTATATTTTATTTTTTACATTTATTACAAAACAGGCACTCAGTGAATGGGTGAAGGTAATACATACATTTAACAAAAAATGAGTATTATGTCCTAATTGTTTTAGAAAATATTTAGAAAAATATATTTTGCTTGAAAATCATTTTTTAAACTGGTTTTACATGTTGAAAAGGGCAGATTATTGTTACTGCTCTATTAAATTAACACACTAATGTAAGTTAACAAATAAGATTTGAATCATGCCAAGTAAATAGGCCAAAACTTCCATTTGTTCATTAACATGAGTTAAGGAATGCAGATACAAAGTGTTATTAGAACATCAAAAGAACAAAATAAAAGAAACTTCGCAGAGTCAGTTTTTTACAATAAGTTGTCCCTCTGAACTAAGTCAAGGCTGTCAAAATGAGGATCAAGCAAATAATTGTGAATATTAGCAGTGGACAGTTTTATTGCTTTGTTATCAAATCTCTAAGTAAAAAATGTAAACATTCTCATCATGAAGATTAGAATTTGTCATGGCAAGAAATAAGGATGCCATGAATAAATCAATCTAGAAAGCCTTGCTCATTCTTAACAACTGTGATTATAAAATAGAAGGTGCCTTTACCTGCTTTCCTTTTAATAAACAACAAAAAAAATAATTTCTTAAATTTTATTTTGGGATCATAAATGAATAAATAAATTCAATTTAGAAAGAAATGTCTTTAAGAAAAAAACAAGAGCCAGGTGCAGTGGCTCACACCTTCAATTCCAGCCCTTTGGGAGGTCGATGTGAGCAGATCACTTGAGTTCAGGAGTTTGAGACCAACCTGGCCAACATGGTGAAACTATGTCTCTACTAAAAAATACAAAAATTAGCCGGGCATGGTGACGGGCGCCTGTAATCCCAGCTAGTTGGGAAGCTGAGACAGGAGAATCACTTGAACCCTGGAGGTGGAGGCTGCAGTGAGCCCATTCTAGCCTGGGTGACAGACTGAGACTCCTCTTCAAAAAAAAAGAAAAAAGAAAATTTTACTAAAAAATAAACAACTTTGAAAACTAAATTAAGTAGTAAACTCCAATTCTCTTTTCAATGGATGGAAGAAAATAAAGTAATCTTTATTTGGAATCTCAACCATGAAAGAAGGGTTTAAATAACTTGATACATTTTTTTTTACTGTATTGTCTCAAGCAACATAGTTCTGACATTCTTCTACAGAATGAGAATTAGTGTTTGTTGACTGAGAACAGACAGCTCTATTTTCCTTTCAAAATCTCTCTTTCAAGATCTTTACAGAGAACATATAAAATCTTGTAATTGTGAATTAGCATGCAGTTAAATGTGAATAGCTAAAAGAACACAGGCACTGCCAACGTTTGAACTTAAAGTTTCTACATATATAGAAACCTACCATCTTAACTAGTGACTACTATGTTGACACAGAAGCATGATTGCATCATGAAAGGTCTTCTGCATTAAATAATTAACCAATTCACTGAATTGACATAGAATGTGTCCTCCCCATGTGCCTAGTACTAAATCATTACAGATTTCTCATCTTAAGGTACATTTCTTACTCAAGGCTACTAAGAGAGCCAGTTGTATTGTCCTTCAAAACCCAGTACAAATCTTGTATTTATGCAGGACCTACTTTCTCAAACACAAATACTATTAACTCTTTTGGTAAAAAGTATTTAGAAGTACTCCATGTTTGCAGGATAAAGCACAAAGTTCATACTTAAATGTACAAAACCCTTAAAAATCTAACTTTCTAGCTATGCCTTCTGCCAATCACCTATATGCCTTCTTCATTCTTATTATGCACATTCACATGTTTGGTTGAATGTTAATTAACGTCTTGATAACTTTGTAGCTTTATTTTACGTATTAGTTCAGTGTAGACATATGAACTACAATGTAGACGTATAAACACAAAATGCATAAAATAACATACAGATTGCAATAAAGAAGGAAATACAAGGGTGGGGACAAAGTAGAATCAGATATAAGCCTAAAATATATGCTGTTCAATGCCTATACCTTTTATTAGGTATATATTTGGTAACTTTCAACAACTTGAAGAGGGATAATTTTGCATAAATATAAATTTAATTCTTACTGAGATTAAAATATATTAACTACGCAGAATAATTGCATACACAGGAAAAAGAAGACACCCAGTGATCCACATAAAAGGCATAATATGATACAGTGAAAAAAATCTCTCCTTAACGTCTTCTTAACTTTAACGTAGGGCTTAAAACATAATAATTGGACTCTGTGTAGGCTCATAGTATGCATCAAGGCACATTTTAGAAAAGCTATTCTGAGAGGTAAGGAAATGACCTATACTAACTTGTCTGTTTCCCATAACACCCTATTCATCAGACATTTTTGCAGACCTACAAGATTGTACTGCAGTCATTGTTTCCCTTAATTATGTAGCCACTAGACTGCAAGCTCCTTGAAGGAAGCACTTCTATCTTATCATACTAGGTACCACAAGCATTTGGATAGAGCTGAGAAGAGGTTTTATAAGGCTTCAAAAGATACAAAATCTTTGATGTGCAATGTCTGGAATATCTACTTTATAATCACAATAGACTTTGAGTTAAAAGAGAAATATGAATTAATTGAATAACTTATTTTTAAGTCATTTTAATAACAGAGACTTGCTTTCATAATGCCTTGAATTTCAATTCCCCAATTCAGGAAAGATTCCTTTTTATTGATAGAATAAAATACCCTCTATCATTCAATAGCCAACCAATTTTCTTATGATGGGTAAATGAAAATGTTGGTTTCTATCCTATCACTTTTAACTGCCTGCACTTGACCTTTACTAGTCAAAGAACGAGGATAAACTTTCTTTAGCCATTTGGTCAGTGAACTATTTATCTTGCTTAAGACATTTTGTCTCCTCACTCTGTTTAACTGCTAAAGATAGTTTAGATTCAGACTCAAGATTTCATCATATATTGTCTCCCTAGTAACACTGGGGCATTAAAAAAACTCCACAAGTCAGTCTCATATTCAAAATTTGTCATATCTATGTGTTTCAGTATATTTTTAAATAAACTGTGTTTCAATAATACATATAGTTTTTGTCCTAACTTCATCCTTAATCAATTCCAAATATTATTTTTCTAAGTAGTTTGGCTTTCCTAGTGAATTTTTGATAGTGTGTGCTACGTATTAAGAGCAATGAACATAGAGATAATTTTTAATTAATTAATTAATTAATTATTATGGTGTCTACTTCCAAGTGAAAGGTATTAATCTTAAATCCCATATATTTATTCATATTTTCTTCCTGTAACCCCAGTAAGGAATAGACCCTATTCGCTCTCACAAGCTGCCCATGTGCTTTCTCATCTGAAAACAGTGTGAGTAGCTGAAAGTGATTGGACTAGTTTTGTCTAATTGGCCTTAAAATGTTCCAAAAAAGAACAATAACACATATTTGGATAGTGGATTTATTTTTTAACAATTTTAATTAATTTTATAACTTCTTTATTAGGGAAGATGTGAGATTTTACCTTATTGTGTTACCTCACTTTCCTATCTCCACCTACTTAATTATACATTTTGGATTATCTCAATATTAGCCCTTCCCATTTCATGTCCATTGTGTTATTTTACCTTCTTATCCTGCTTAATTTCCTTAACACCCATTAATACTTGAGGTTGCATTGTATATTAATTTTTATATTTAATTTATATTTATTTATTTTCTATCATTCCTTCTTAATAATGTAAGTTCCATTAAGGACAGGGATTTGTCTCCTTCCCTGTTCTGTTTAAGAAATATCTAAAAAATAATATTCAACAATGTTTTGTTGAAGGACCAAATACAACTTATCGCTAAAACTGAAATTCCATATGATTTAAATTTCCTTTTTATTTTAATATTTTTTTCCTGGAATATAACATATTCTTATTTATTCTGGAGTCAAGAATTCCTTTTTTTCTCCTAAATTTCTTAGGTGCTTATCATGAATTCTTCCCAAACTCTACAAAAGAATTAAAACACCCATTCAATAAGACGTTATTAACATGGTTGAATGTATTAGATAATCCCTCATTACTATTATTATTTACAATATCCTGATGCTCTCCATCTTTGCTCCATATTAAAATCTGATCTTTCAGTAAACCAGATGTACAGTTGTTGTGCTAGGCATACTGGGAACTCCTTTTGCCTATTCCCTGTGTCATCTTTCTTGTTTGCACAATGAGATATGTTCCTCTTTATTCTCTTGCTTTGTGGAGCACACTCTCCATTTCTTGGAAAAGGGCCATGGTAAGTGTGTTGAACATACTTTAGAATGGTCCCACATGATTTTCATCCCATGATATTTATGCCTTTGTTCAAGGTTCCCTTGAATGTGTGCAGTACCTGTGACTTGCTTTTAACCAATGTAATACACAAAAGATATAGGATAGTATTACATTATTACCTAAAACTGAAGCACCAGTCTTGCTGGAGTATCTCCCTTTCCTTGTTGGATTGATGAAGTAAGCAGCCATGTTGGTGAGGCCCACACGGCCAGGAACTGTTGGCAGCTTCTAAGAGGTGAGGTCAGTCTCTGGAAGACAGCCAGAAAAAAATAAAAACAAAATCAAAAACAAAAACACCCAAAAAACCCTGAAGTTTTTAATCCTACAACTACAGGGACCAAATGCTGCCAACAACCACATGACTGGGGAAATGGATCTTTCCCTAGCTGAGCTAACAAATAAGAACCAAGCTCTTGTTAGTCACTTAATTGGAAATTTGTGAGCCCCTGAGAAGACGGTGTAGCTCAACTGTGCCTGGACTTGAGACCCACAGAAACTGTGAGATAAAGAACGTGTATTGTTGTAAGCTGCTAAATGTGTAGTAATTCTTTAAACAGCCTAGTAAACTAATACTGTAAGTAAGGTTTTGAGTCCTTATGGGTCAGAAAATTTATTTTTTCTGCGCTAATTTTGTTTTGGCTGCACTTAAATTCTATAAAATCATTTTCTCTCAGAATTTTGAATGCATTGCTGCATTGTTTTTTAGTCTCCATTGTTGAAATTCTATTCTAGTATTCAATAATTGCATTACGCTGTCTCCATTTTACTATTAGTAATGGTTTGTTTATTACAACATATCTTCCAAAATTATGTTTATACCTCTCATATAATGTTATCTCTTCTGTTCTGCTTATTGTCATGTGCTTATATATTTTTAACTTCTTTCCTCTTTTGGATTAGAGCGAAGAAAATTAAATGCATTTAATTCCTCTGTTTAAGCTATTTTAGATGCTCCATTTAGATCCTTTTTTAGTTGTCTTATATGGGTTTTTTGAAGACTCTCAATAACTGCATTTTACTAACATTGACTTACTATTTTCCACACAAATTCCTTATAAACAAGAAGGAGTCAGAGTGCTTCCTTTTAAAAGAAGAGGAGGAAATTTTAATGCCTCAGATTTATTGTCACTACCTATCATTGGATAATTTTCTTTCTTTATACCTTTGTCATTGCCCATCCCGTTCACTTTTATTTGCTTTTTTTCTTTTTCTCTGTTTCTGTTTTTATATTGAATATATCTTCCTTTCTCTACTAAGAACAATGAGAGCACATAAGAAGCAATAACTTTATCAAATCAGGTAGAGAATACTAGCACACTCTGAGAACACATTTCTCCAGACATCATTAATAACCATTCTACCATAATAGCTATGCTTCTGAATTTCAATACAATCGGTAATTTAAGACATTCAAAGATGTTAATAGAATGAGATTCTCCAGTTGCTTATTCTGATAACAGAGAAAAAATGATTTTTTAAAATTTGGCATTTTACACACTTGATCCAGGTAGTGCACTCTCAAATGTCCATGTTAAATGGAATAAGTATATAGCTCTCCTAAATAAAAATATTAGGCAATTAAAGAAATATTACACATAACTTGGTATTCTAGGAAAAACAATTATTATTTTTTGTGTGCATACCCTGATGATAATGACAAGAAAATAAGGTAAATATATTTATCTGGTGGAGCAAGGAAGTTATTAGTGGTGAATCTGGCAGAGTAGAGGTAGAAATAAGCCATAAATAATTCACTTGTAGAATGTCTAGAATTACCCACATATGTACTTTAAAAATGTTAATTTGATCATAAGCTTCTAGAAAATAATGTTATTCTAAATGGTAGAGATAATCCCCTTTTCTAAAAACAATTTCTCCTGAATTCTTTAACTATTTTTTTCATAAATTCAAATAATTATTTGGATGACTGAATGAAAACCCCCTAATTCTTAAAATAATTTGTGTTCCTTTTAAACCAAAAATATCCTGAAGGGTCAGCAATCATATTATTTTAATACCTAAATAATAATGGATGTAATACATGAAAATTTATGTAACATGACTTGAGATCTCCAGAATTGACTTTAGCTTACTAAATTTTGACAGTAGTATTCCACATCTAATGGATTATCCTTTGGTTCCATTTATGTTCATTCCAATCATCAACTTTCCTCATGTTTGACTTCTTTTTTTTTTTTAACCATGAACCTAGATTTCATCACAATATAATTTTAACTGTGTGGCCTAAAGAACCATTTCACGTTCCCACTTTTTTTGTCAGAGTTCAATTAAGAGGTGAAATATTTGCTCCACATCACACTGTGAATTACTGAACCAGGCTTAAATCTGTGACTCACCTCATGAATCACTTTTTTTAACCTTTTAAGCAATACTTAAATACCTTTTCAGCAATACTTAAATACCTCAAACTTTTTAATTCTTCATTCTTTATCAAAGCATTCTACTACTTATCTTCCTCAAACATTATCTGTTCCCTATCCTTAAGTGCTGTAGATAATTACTACTCTCTACAAAAGTTCTGTTTTACTGCTTTATTTTTTGAAGAAGATTCCATTTGTGGATTGTATTTGATTTTCACTGCTATGACCTTGTCCTTTTTGCCATGAATGTGTATATCTGTCATAGTTCATTCTATACCCTTTCTCACCAAATGTATTGTTGTCTTTCTAATTACTTGCTATTGTTAAGGTCATTTCTGAATGTCCTCAAAAGTAATTAGCATACTAAACAAAAGAGTGAAATAAATGAATATATAAATAAATCCTTTTGTCTTCAAAATTTACAAGTAGTAAGAAGACATAAAAGCTGATTTCAAGGTATGAATATTGCATAGCTCAATGTTTCCCATTTTACATGAACACTGAGTAAATATATAACCACTCCCCTAATTTCTTAGTGTTTGAACTTGCTAAATCCTTAAAATGCTATAAGGTATATACATAAACTACAGTTATATAGAAGAAATAAATGATATGTATTTAAGGTGCTAGATATGCAAATTTTCTTGATTTATTCATTCCACACTGTAGACATATTATAACATCACGGTATACCCAATAATTATATATGAACATAATTTGTTAAAAAAATACTTAGTTAAAAAATAAAGTTCTGTAATTCGAATGTTTGTTTCCTCCAAAACTCATGCTGAAATTTAATTGCCATTGTAACGAATTAGGAGGTGGAACCTTTAATAGGTGATTAGGTCATGACAGTTTCACCCTCGTGGGTGGGATTGGTGCTATATTAAAGACTGTGCTTAATCCCCTCTTGCTCTCTCTTGGCCCTTCTGCCTTTTGCCATATAAGCATCCAGCTTTCTTTCTCTCCAGGGAATGCAGAGCACAAGGTTCCATCTTGAAAAAAGAGAATGGCCTCACCAGACACCACACCTGTGGTACCTTGACCTCGGATTTCCCAGTCCCCAGAACTGTGAGCTAATGCATTTCTGTTATTTACAAATTGCTCTCACAAGTATTCTGCTATAGCAGCATAAATTAGACTAAACCAGAGTGAATCAAGAAACTTAAAATAACTTATTTATCCTGCTACTGTCTTGCCTTAATTCATAGGCAGACCTAGAATATGAATCACACAAAACATTGTTTAACTGTCACCACGGTATTAATTACTCTTTGGTACAGAAAAAATAATTTTTTTTTTTTTGCCAAAAAAAAGTCTATAAAGTATTATTATTTTTTTCTTCTTTTTAATGCTAGTATTCCCTGTTTTATTTTATTTTATTTATTTATTTATTTATTTTTGAGGCGGAGTCTCACTCCGTTGCCCAGACTGGAGTGCAGTGGTGCGAATATTCCTTGTTATTAATCTAAATTTGGATTTCAAAGCCATTCTTAATACTTTCCCACCTCATCTAAAAATCATCTCTCCACTTGTATAATATGTACTCTCCACTCCAATGAGGCCAATTTCTAGTCACCCCCCTTTCCACCCCACTACACTATAGTGAATATCTGGCTTTTTTTTTTTTTTTTGGTCTCTCCAACATCCCCTCCATTGGGGAACTTTATTTTTCTACCCATTTGGGCTACCAATTACATGGTGCTGGTTTCCCAAAACTGGTCTAGGTACTTAACAAACTAGTTATTCAGTAAGTCCTATCTACTTGATCACACTGATTTGTTCAAGGATGGTAAACTGATTTAAATTGAGTACATCATTCATCTCCCAAAATTCTTTAATAAAATAAAATCATATTCTGCCATAAAAAACATATTCTGTTTTTCTGTTTTCTGTTTTTTTGTGAGATTCTTAACTAAAAGTATAAAAAAAAGTTAAGATACTGATGACATCTTTTTACTGTCATGCAGAGAAAAACTCACTGAAATAAACCTGAGAAAAACAGGAATGCAAAATGGAAATTAAAAGCAGAAAAAAATAAAGAATTGAATGCATTTCTTGAGTCTTTAGATCTTTTTCTATATGTTTCTGTTATGGGAACGGATTAATTCATATGTATTATTACAGGCATAAGGAAGCTTGGATTGTGTTTTGTCACTTAACCAAAAAGTCATAATCAATACACTATGCTGATTTACACCTACACTTTTTTTTTTTTGAGACAGAGTCTTCCTCTGTCGCCCAGGCTGGAGTGCAGTGGCGCAATCTCAGCTCACTGCAAGCTCCACCTCCTGGGTTAACACCATTCTGCTGCCTCAGCCTCCCGAGTAGCTGGGACTACAGGCGCCAGCCACCACACCCAGCTTTTTTTTTGTATTTTTAGTAGAGACGGGGTTTCACCATGTTAGCCAGGATGGTCTCGATCTCCTGACCTCATGATCCACCTGCCTCAGCCTCCCAAAGTGCTGGGATTATAGGCGTAAGCCACTGCACCTAGCTTACACCTATATTTAGAGTAAACTTAGTTTCTGGTTTGCCTGGGAAAATTCAAGGTAAAAATTGTTGTTTTAGCATCTCATCCCACTTAGTGTTTGTCCCAATATTTTCCATGTATTTAATAAAACTATATTACTAAAAGGTACATTAACAAATACTAGAAAGAATTTTGTAGACCTCCACTTTGTGCTTCCAATTTTTGTTTTCAATTCAGAGTGTGAGTACAGTGACCAGCATTTGCACATTAATATCTGCTTTAATATGAAAGATAGCCACTGTAACTTGTATCAATTTTTCTTTGTTTTACAGACACAAAGTAATGAAAAAGTTGCACTTTCAAAGACCGAGTAGGTACTTGCTGATAAAGTGAATTGTCCACAGATGCAAATGCTTACATTAGAGATAGCCAGCTCTTCTGGTCTCAGGTGTTAAAGTAAAGAGCATTCCATACTGCTGCCCTTGCCAGTAACTTCCTGTGATAGAAGTTTATGCTGTGGCCTATATTATGCCATACAAAATACACAAAACTCCAGATAACATTGAGAAATTACTTTATGTACTTCAGAAGTACATAAAATATGTCATAGAAACGAAGGCTCAGGTTTAGCTACAGAGATTATAGTCTATTTTTTATATAATGTTTTATTATCTACAGTGTTTTATTTTATTGTTATGAAATATATTTCTTAAATAAAAATGATTCAAAATGCTTAGTCACTGAAAAATTATATAATTTTGCAGAATTAAATTTGGCAAACATTCAAAGGAATAATTAATTAAGAATCTTACTTGAAAAATTTGGTCTTGTAAAAACATACATATGAAAGAAAGGCACTCTGAGTGTGGGCAAAAAGAAGTACCGGAGGAAATATTTGAGCTAAAATATTTATGAATTCAATACAAAAAAAAAAAGAATTAATTATATCCTCAGAATTGGCCTTGAGTTTACCAAGTTTCTTAGAACCTGTAACAAGAGTATTTTATAAATTAAAAATACGATTCTCTTCAGAAAAAAGTCAAAAACTGAATCAACAGTTTCAAATTTAGAAAATAATGTGTATAGTGACTAGATCAGGATATTGAACCTATGCATCCTCTCAAACATTTCTCATTTATTTGTGTTGAGAACATTCAAGACTCTCCTTCTAGCTATCTGAAACTGTTATTGTTAACTGTAGTCATCCTACAGTGCTATAGAACATTAGAACTTATTCCTCCTACCTAGCTATAATTTTGTATCCTTTAACAAATGCATTATATTTATGGCCACATCATTATGTAACCCATAAAAATGTACAATTATTATGTTTCAATTATAAATTTTAAAAATAATTTCTTTAAAATGAAAAGATTAAAAAAGATGAAGGGTATTTTAGGCAGAAAGAATAATGGTATTACAGGATTTTGTCAGTTCTATAAAGTAGCATATTTCAATTTAAAATACATTTCATTTTTTAAGTTAAGAAAGAAAATGTTATATTGAAAAATATTGCAGGGAGTTTTATAAGAAATTTTAAGGACTGATAGTTAAATTTATGTGTCAGCTTGGCTAGGCTATGGTACTCAGTTGTTTAGCAAAACACTAGTCTATATTGTTGCTGTGAAGGTATTTTGTAGATGTGATTAACAATGAATTGACATTCAGTAAATAAGACTACTCTTAATAATGTGAATGGTCCTCATCCAATAATTGAAAGGTGTTAAGAGCTAAATTTGAAGTGTATTGGCGTATGGGCCCATTTTCACACTGCTGATAAAGACATACTCAAGACTGGGCAATTTACAAAGGAAAGAGGCTTAATGGAGAACTCACACTTTCACGTGGCTGGGGAAGCCTCAGAATCATGGCGGAAGGTGAGGAGGAGCAAGTCACATCTTACATGGATGGCAGCAGGGAAAGAGAGCTTAGATAGGAAAACTCCCCCTTATACTAACCATCAGGTCTCATGAGATTTACTCACTATCATGAGAACAGCACAGGAAAGACCTGCCCCCATGATTCAATTACCTCCCACCGGGTCCCTCCCACAACACATGAGAATTCAAGATGAGATTTGGGTGGGAACAAAGCCAAACCATATCAATTGGAGACGAAGACATTCTGCCTTAAGACTGTAACATAGAAATCCTTTCCCAATTTCCAATTTGATGGCCTGCCCAACAGATCCTCAAATAGACCTCAAGAAGCAAAACAGTTTATTGTATTTGGAATGTATCCAAAGAAAACCTTACAGACATTTTCCATGTCCTAGTATGAAATGAAGAAGCAGAATGACTCCTATGTTTTTAAACATAGCAAACTATCATAGAGACTAAACAGATCTCAACAAACCAAATGAGAGGAATAAAAAGCACCTACGGGGATACTCTCTTCAACCAAGACCAAGGAAAGGTGGCTGATTGAGCTGATGGCTAAAGGGACAGATGACATCTATTACCAGACAGATCCACTTACAAATGCCTTCATACCATGACAGTCTTGCAAACATAGATCCAGCTTTGGAGAGGACAGAAACTGAAATTGTTGGGAATAGTGTTTTGAACTCAGCCAAAGTAATGGCTCAAAACTAAATATAAGCTTACTTAGAGATAATTCAGTTTTATATTTTAAGGTGAATTTGTAGATAAGAATTATGTAATCAAACACCTATTCATGATTAAAAAAAAACTTTAAAGAAAACTAGTTATAGTGGGGACCACTTCTTACTTGATAAAGCACAGGTAAAGGAAAAAAAAAGAAGAAAAATACTTGCATATAACATCATACTTAATGGTGAAGAAATGAAGTTTTCCCATTAAAGTGAGAAACAAAGCAAGGATGGCTACTTCACCACTCCTATTTATCATACAGAAAGTCCTGGCTAATGCAATAAAACAAGAAAATAAAATAAAAGTATACAGATTTAGAAGGAAGAAATAAAACTGTCTTTGTTCACAATAATGTGATTGTCTATAAATAAAAGTATCAAATATCAAAAGTATCAGATATGTAAAGTATCAATAAAAAGTCTCCTGGAACTAGTAAGTGTTTATAGCAAGACGACAGGATAAAAGTTTAATACACGAAGGCCAATTGCTTCTTACATACCAAAAATAAACAATTGGAATGTAAAATTAAAAACATAATACTGGCCAGGCATGGTGGCTCATGCCTGTAATCCCAGCACTTTGAGAGGCCAAAGTAAGTGGATAGCTTGAGTCCAGGAGCTCGTGAACAGCCTAGGCAACATGGCAAAACCCAGTTTCTACCAAAAATAAAAAATTGGCCAGGCATGGTGGTGCACGCCCCTAGTCCCAGCTAACTGGGAGAATCTCCGAAGCCAAGTAGGTGGAGGCTGTCGTGAGACATGACCACTTTACTGTACTCCAGCCTGGGTGACAGAGTGAGACCTTTTCCAAAAGAAACAACAACAACCAAAAATCCCAGAAAACATAAACCATTTATATTCACAAAAATGAGATACTAACATATATATATGGCAAATAAAATTTTATATGAAGAAAACTATAAATCTCTCAAGAAAGAAAAGGCTGGGTGCGATGGCTCATGCCTGTAATTCCAGCACTTTGGGAGGCCGAGGCGGGCGGATCATGCGGTCAGAAGATCAAGAACATCCTGGCTGAAACGACGAAACCCCGTCTCTACTAAAAATACAAAAAGCCGGGCGTGGTGGCGGGCGCCTGTAGTCCCAGCTACTCGGGAGGCTGAGGCAGGAGAATGGCGTAAACCCAGGGGGCGGAGCTTGCAGTGAGCCGAGATCGCGCCACAGCCCTCCAGCCTCGGTGACAGAGAGAGATTCCGTCTCAAAAAGAAGAAAGAAAGAAAGAAAGAAAAAAAAGGTCTAACAAAATAGAGATGTATCCTGTGTTAATGGATAAGAAGACAATATTGTTAAAATGTCAGTTCTGACCAGGCACGGTGGCTCACGCCGGTAATCCCAGCACTATGGGAGGCCGAGGCGGGCGGATCACGAGGTCAGTAGATCGAGACCATCCTGGCTAACATGGTGAAACTCTGTCTCTACTAAAAATACAAAAATTTAGCCAGGTGTGGTGGCGGGCACCTATAGTACCAGTTACTCGGGAGTCTGCGGCAGGAGAATGGCCTGAACCCGGGAGGCGGAATTTGTGGTGAGCCGAGATCACGCCACTGCACTCCAGCCTGGGTGACAGAGCGAGACTCCGTCTCAAGAGAAAAAAAAAAAAAAAAAGTCACTTCTTTCCAATTTGATCTACAGACTCAATGCAATCCCAATAAATATTCCAACAATTTTTTCTTTATATATTTATAAACAGATTCCAAAGTTTATATGGAGAAGCAAAAGACTTAGAATAGCCAATACAATATTGAAGAGAAGAATAAAGTTGGAGGAATGGTGCAATCCAATTTCAAAATATACTATAAATCTACAGAAGTCAAGATAGTGTGGTACTGCTGAAAAAACTGGCAAATATATCAAAGGAACAGAACAGCAAGAAATTGACACACTCAAATATAGTCAGCTGATATTTGACAATGTGAGCAAAGGCAATTCAGTGGAGAATAGTCTTTTCAACAAACTTGGAACAACTGGAATCTGAAAACAAACCAAAACAATTTAGTCACAAGTTTATATATCTTTCACAGAAATTAACTCAAAATGAATCACAGATCTAAATTTAAAATACAAAACTATAAAACTTTTAGAAGATAACATTGGTGAAACTCTAGGTGACATTGTTTTTGGAAGTGACTGTTTATATACAAAACCAAAAGGATGATCCATTAAAGAAAAAAGTGATAAATTAGACTTTGTTAGCATTAAAACTGCTCTGCAAAAGACAATGTTAAGTGAGGGAAAAGACAAGACACATACTGAAAGAACATCTTTGAAAAACACATATCTGATAAAGGACAAGTATAAAAATATACAAATAACTTTTTAAACTTAAAAAAACCTTAGTTAAACATTGGAAAAAAATCTGAACATTCACTTCACCAAAGAAGACATACCAATTGCAAATAAGCATTAGAAAAATCCTAACATCATATGTCATTAGAGAGTTGCAAATCAAAATAACAATGAGATACCACTATTCACCCATTGTAAGGGCTATAATCCAAAGCACTGTCAACAACAAATGCAGGATGTAAAACAACAGAAACTTATTCATTTCTTGTGGGAATGCAGAATGGTATCACTTTGGAATACTGTGGGCATTTTCTTACACCACTAAACATGCTCTTACCATGTGATCCAGAAATCACATTCCTTGGTATTTATTCGAATGAGATGAAAACTTATGTCCATGCAAAAACCTGCACACCAATGTTTATAGTGGTTTTATTCCTACTTGCAAAAATTTAGATGCAACCAACATGTCCTTTCATAAAGATGAATGGATAAACAAACTGTGGTACATCCATACAATGAAATATTTTTCAGCAATAAAAAAAGACATGAATGAACTTTGAGTGCATATTGTTAAGTGAAGGAATCCAATCCGGGAAGGCTAAACGCTATGTAATTCCAATTATTTGACCTTCCGGAAAAGGCAGTAAAAATATCAATCGTTCTTAGGGTTTTGGGGGGAGAGGAAGGAAGAGATGAGCAGGTGTGGGTCATAGGGGATTTTTAGGGTAGTGAAATTGTGTGTGATACTGTAATAGTAGACAGATAACATTACACATTTTTCAAAACCCATAGAATGTACAACACAAAGAATGTCCCCTGTTAGCTAAGGGTAATGACTTCAGGTAATAATAATGTAACAATATTGATTCATCAGTTGTAACAAATGTGCCGCACTAAGCAAGATGATAATAATAATAATAACTATATGGTTGTTGTGAGTGTGGGGCAGTCGTGGGGAGGGAAATGAGTATATGGAAACTCAGTACTTTCCACTTAAAGTACTTTTCTGTAACTCTAAATCTTCTCTAAAAAGTAAAGTCTCATTTTTAAGTAATAAGAGTATATTATGAACCCCTTATGCCAATAAATTGGAAAACTCCAAAATAAATATATTCTCTCAAAAATATGGCTACAACAACCGGGTGTGGTGGTGGGCGCCTGTAGTCCCAGCTACTGGGGAGGCTGAGGCAGGAAAATGGCATGAACCCAGGAGGCAGATGTTGCAGTGAACCCAGATGGTGCCACTGCACTCCAGCCTGGGTGACAGAGCGAGACTCCGTCTCAAAAAAAGAGAAAAAATAAAAAATGGCTACAACAATATGTGTTTATGGAGGGGTGTGGGCGTGTGTATGTGTGTATAACAGGAAGAGAGGATAAAGAATAGAGAGGTGTAGTCCATGCTAAGAAGGGCCTTACATGTTCTGCTGAACATATAGAATATAGGCAGAAGCAGTTAATAATCTGTTAAATATTTTAAAGCAACATAATGACATCAGAATATTGTACTTACCTGTATCAAAATTGTATATAACTATCACTATATATTTTTCATGAATTTTTATATGTAAAATAGAATAGAATCATGTTAGCCTTATTACAATTATATTTTTAACTTTTGAGGATATATAAGAAAAGCATCCCCTTCTTACTCTCTTGTTTTAACTAATAACAATGAAAAAATCACAGGGAATATACAAAAAAAATTTTTTGGAAAGAAACAAATATAGGCAGGTTGACTGTACCATGGCGCTCCAATTCCCCTCCCCTCTCAGTTTCTTGTCTTTACTGCTCACTGCCTCCCGGGATCCCATAGTCAAGGGTACCTGATTTCTACTTTTTACTGGCAAAATGTATGTAAAACAAAATAAATGGAATTCAAAATTATGGAAAACTATCTTATAACATGATAAAACATATAAATATAATCAAATTTATAAAATAAATGTTTTGGATCAGCTTTCTAGGAAATTAAAATGCATTTAGTTCCTGCTTACCAGGATTGTTTTTTGTTTTCAAGTAAGCCAAATGGATGTGGATTACTCCTCTGAGGTGAATTGCTGATACATTATAGGTAATTAGTGGGGACAACAGGAGATTTCATGAGTAGAAAGTAAATATTTGTCTCTGTTATAGCTAGGTATTTGTGTACATATAAACTGTTAGGGTTTTATGTCCTGCCTCATCATTTCTATGAAAAGAAAAAGGAGTGTCATCATTTCAAGCTTTAGTACCATTCTGAGCATAGTAGGCTATCAAAAAATATTTTTGATAGTTGCATAATATTGAAAGTATAAAACACCTGGACAACAATAATATAGAAACAGATTCATAATTAATTTGTTGTTTACTTATGACATTCTTTTCTTTGATTTATGGCGGCTACTAAAAGCCGCTGATCCCTAGGTCATATCTCCAAAATAATTAAAAATGAAATTAAAGAGCATGATCTAAATGGTGAACATATGCATAGCAAGACTGGTGAGTGCATACAAATAATTTGTCAGTGATTTATGTCACAAAGCCCAACTGTTTCCTCTTAAAAACACATCATATTTGCTTCCAAGCACTGTTACAACGAAGTGTCACAAACTAGGTACCTCAGAACAACAGAAACGTATTGTTTCACAATTTTTGGAGATTTGAAATACAAGATCGAAGTATGATAGGACTGGTTCCCTTTTGGGGCTGTGAGGAAGAATCTGCTTTATGTCTGTCTCCTAGATCCTTGTCCTTTGCTGGTTATCTTTGTCACTCTTTGGTTTGTAAGTTCATCACGTTGATCTCTACAATCATATTCACATCACTTTCTCCCTTTATGTAGTAGATATGTGCATGTCTGTCCTTGTATCCAAATTTCCCCCTTTTATAAAGACACCAGTCATAATGGATTAGGGGTCACCCTAAGACCTCATTTTGTTACAGGACAGGGGTCCCGATCCAGATCCCACAAGAGAGTTCCTGGATCTCGCACAAGAAATAATTCAGGGCGAGTCCGCAGTGCAAAGTGAAAGCAAGTTTAGGAAAGTAAAGGAATGAAAGAATGGCTACTCCATAGACAGAGCAGCCCCGAGGGCTGCTAGTTGCCCATTTTTATGGTTATTTCTTGATGATATGCTAAACAAGCGGTGCCTTGTTCATGCCTCCCCTTTTTAGACCCTATAGGGTAACTTCCTGATGTTGCCATGGCATTTGTAAACTGTCATGGCGCTGGTGGGCGTGTAACGGGAGAATGACCAGAGGTTACTCTTGTGGCCATTTTGATTTTGGTGGATTTTGGTTGGCTCCTTCACTGCAACCTGTTTTAGCAGTGCTTTTCTCTCTCTCTCCTTTCCCTTTCTTATCTTTTTCTATTACTCAGGGCGACCATCTTGTCCAGAGACCTCGTGTTGTAACTCCTAGTTGGAGGTTGGATTAAAGATGATGGGGTCCATCTGAGGGCAAATTTAAGCCTTGCCAGTTTGATACTGGATGCTAAGCAGAGTGGCTAATGTCTATATTTTATCACATGTTTTGCTTTGGCCAGAACAACAACAACAAAACAAAAAACAAACAAACAAAAAATCCTTTAGGATGTGGCTTGGCCCCCAGGGCAATGGTGCCGCAAGCAAGATCACTAGGGCCGCTCAGGGAAAGGGAACCCAGAACGCTGGCATGCCTGGAAAAGGGTAAGAATTTCTTACCAGTCAGATCTTTGGCTTCTCTCTCTCTCTGCAAATGGTTGAATGAATGGAAAGAAAAAATCAGTGTTTATCTCCTCTGTAATGTTTTGATTAAAGAGAAAAAGAATTTAAGGCTCGTCTTAACGCTGGTGTATTTTGTGCTATGAATTCGTTTTTCTGTAAAATAAAACATGGACTTAGAACACCTGTAAGTCAGCTTTTCAAGATGACCCAGCAAGCTGGTCAGTAACAAACTTGGCTGCAGGCCTCTGACACAAAACAAAAAAAAAAAACTGGATGAAGTCTTCGCTTTGTTTTATGTCCTTGGGAGCTTGACCTTTTAACCAGGTGGCGGTAATTTCTCTTCTTCTCCACCTTCCAGGGAACAGGAATTTTAGAGTTCATGTCATAGTTAGGTCTAAAAATCATATTAAATGTTGAAAGCCTTTCAAGCTCAGAATTAACTACTCTAGACTCCTTCTGGGGAAGGAACTAGAGACAGTCCCATGCTGTAGCTCAGTAGTCAAGGTTCAATTCCCCACCTAGGAAGTAAGTCGTTAATTTATGTGTGTATTTCTAATTGTTTCTTATTTTTATTATAATAAATTTTATAGGGTACTCAGATATTATCCAACTGCTAAGGAATGTTTTTTGTTCAACTATAATTTTAAACTACTTATTTCTTTTTCTTTTGAACTATATTTGTGGGTCATGATGATAAATTAGGAACTATTAGGCAAAAATACTTACTAATTTACAGGTTGTTTTAGAGGAAGAAGTATATCTCCTTTCCAACATCTGTACATGCTTGAGTGTTGTTTTTTTCTTTTTGAATAAGTGATTCTGCTTTAATTACAATTTCAAAAGATTTCTACCTCTATGTATATTTATCCAAATGTTTAAGTAATCATCACATGTAGCCACACTATTTTAAATACGAATCAGATTATATCCTTCCTTTGTTTTGCGTTACTGCTGGAATAAATATGTTCTCATATTTACAGCCCGAAATACCTTACCTGAAATGGCCTATGCTTGCCTTAAACACACTGGCCTTTTCAATACTAAACACCACACACTTGTTCTCATCTCAATGCTTCCACTGTTCCAGGCTACTCCAGGATTATTGCATGGTTACCTTCTTCCAGTTATTTATTTATTTCTTGGTTCAAATGCCCTATTGTCCTGATGGCTGGGATTGGATATAAACACCATGTTATCTTCCATTTTCTCCAACTCTTCATTGCCTATATATTCTTTTCACCCAAGAGCTAAGGAAAAAAAACCTATTTGTTCAAGCAAGATTCCTGGAACCATTAGCTTGACATTTCAGGCTAAAATGGGGTATTTTACAACATAAAAAGGAAGAAAACAATGGACAAAACTTAAATCTTGATGAAAAGAGGAAAATTTAAAAATAATATGCAGTCACTAAACATGAAAATTTTAATGAAACTGAAAAATAATTATCATATGGTAAATAAAATACAGAACGCAATAGGTTGTTCATAGTTCCTGTGCACAAGATATAAAAAGAAAAATTCTATCTATATGTCATTTACCTATCATCTGTCTACAATGTGATTAAAATAAAAATGTATTAAAAAATAATTGTGATTGTCTCCAGATGAAAGAATTATAGCGGTACCTACTTTTATCAATTTCTATTGTAATGAGCATGCAATACATTGAATATAAAAATTTTAGACTCCCAAAATATATTACAAATCAAAATAGTTTATGTATCTGTCAATCTGTCAAACAAATTTGCATATATATATAGTTAAGTTAAATATTTAACTTTTCCTTCCAGAATTTTTTCATATGCATGAAATTTAATTGTTATATACATAATATTTGGAGTTTTTCTTCGCTTAAGGCCTCAAGATGTTTAAATATTACTTATATTTTTAAAAATGTGTATAACTCTTATTTAACATTGATTTTATTTGCTTCATATTCTCACAATGAATTCTCAGGAGTGGTATTGCTATGTCAAAGATTATGTAAAATTTAAGGCCATCCATAAGCGGATCTCAGTTGGATATTTCTCTTTCCCAGTGACTTCATGCCCTCTTCCTACTTCAATTTCTACTCAGTTTTCACTTGTCATCCTGTTGATTAACATCTTAACAATCTCTTCTTTCTACAACATTGTGTGAGTATTCTCTTGCATGAAAAATTCAAAAGTTTCATTTATTAATTGAGAGATAGTATATGGTGTTTTGCTTTGTCCTTAATGCCCTATTTTGTGTAGAATATCAATTGCATTTTATTGAAATATGCTGAGTTTCCTTGGAAAATGAATTTCTAGACAATATTTTTTAATATCTTCAAATTTATCCTACGTTTTTACCCACCATCTTCAATTTATGATTTGTTAATTGTAACTGAAATGTATTAATTATTTTTATATTGCTTTCTGGTGACTATTCAAAATCAGTCTATTGTTTTTCTGCTTCATAATTTATATAAAAGGAAATTTTATACAAATTAACAATTGAGCTTGGAGAGTTCTGTACTTGATCATTTCTTGGTTTGTGTATATCCTTTAAGTTTTTTTTTTGCTAAAATTATCAGAAGTTACTATCATACATTAATAGATGCATTCAGTTGATGTTTAATGAATTTGTATGTGCCATTCACTGTTTGCTTCGACCTCATTATAGTCTTTATTTACTACTTGTTTCTACTTCACTTTTTAATAAATATGGGATTGAACCTTTATATTTCCTTTACATTTTCAGTTCACCTTCTTCCAGAATACTCAATTTTATTTCTCTTTTCTTTAGAAAATAATTATTATATTCTATGTGAATCTTTCCTTCTCTTTTCTTTTGTATTCAGTATACATAAACCATAATCACTATGTATGATGGTATTAGTGATATGGTATTATGGTATTATGGTAAGAGTATTAAACTTCTTATGTCAATCTATTTATAAATATTTATAAATGTCAACATTTTAGGACCCTCACAAATGATATATATTTCTTCTAGAAATAACAGTTTTAGACTTGCAGAAAAGTGAAGAATAGAATTTGTAAATATTTATAGATGAGTGTGTGAATTACTGCTTCCAAGATAAATTAAAAATCCATTTATTTGGTAAATGTCCTCTAATATATAGTTCCTTATTATCATGATTTAGACTGTATCATGTCTATTCAATGCATTCATTTCTCAGAGAGCTAGTTCCTCAAACTCCAATTCAGAGTTTGAGGAACTAGGTATATAGAGATGAATACAACCACATTCCATGTGTTTATAACCAGTTTCTAAACTCCTGGTTAGATTTCTGCTTGTAATTTCAATTTATATATACAAATTAGAAATACAATTTAATCTTATACTCTTGCCCAGACATCCCATGAGGAGATTACAAGGTCAGACCTTTTCCCATGGTCCACTTGTAAGTAATTTCAAAAGCAGGGATGCTCATGGGCACACAGAAACACATGAACTTTCTGAATATTAAACAATACACAGCTTTATGTGGCTATGGAACAGAATAGCTAGACCTGATTGTCCCTGAACAATGCTGTTATATTATAGAACAAATAAAATATAAAGACCATGTATATTTTGTTTTCAGTAACAATATGGTCATATTTATTGACCAGTATTTTATTACCAAATCCCAAGGAATGTTTCAGTTTGTTAGAATATCTAAACTAATGTGGCTCTATGATGTTGATAAATATTTTTTTTGATTAGTAACAAACATAACTTAAAAGTGCAATTTTATAAAGTACTTTAAATACTTTAAAATTATTTTTATTAACATTTATTTATTTGTATATTATTTTCTAAATTTTGGAAAACGTTGGTCATATATGGAAGTAATATTAGCTTTTCCTAATGACAGATTGAGGGTTGCTGGTTTGGAAATATGCTCCTTAGAAGAGAGAGAGAGGGAGAGGGAGAGAGAAAAGGTGGGAAAATAATCCATGGTTAAATTATCCTAGAAACAAACACACATTAGAGGTAGAGCTAGAAGACAGCACAATCAAACTTCTCTTTCAGAAATCCTGAAAATGTTTAAAAGTTTACTCTTTTAAAATAGATTTCTTCCTTTGTTACAAAAGAAGCACTATTGGAAATATATGTGTATGCCCAGTGAATATGACTCTTCATATATATCATATTGTAACAAATTTCCAAAACAACATTCAGAGTCAGAGTGAAATTATTGTTTTTATTTCTCAGGGAATCATTTGAGTCTAACAGATGAAATGCATTATCTAATATTCAATGGTAAAGAAGAATAATAGATTTTAATTCAAAATATATTAGTAGTTTGCTATATAACTCAGAAATATGAAGTCTTAATCTTTTATTTTTAAAAATAGAAAGTAGTATATTTAATAAAATATGCTTATACTGTATTGTAAAATAATTATTTCAATCATGATATAATTGTAGCCATAGAAAATCATAATTATAGGGTTTGTCATATATGACTGTGAAAATAATTTGTGTAATCTTGGAAATAAAATAAGATGTTTCAGAAAATGGAGTACCTTGCTTCCTGAAAAATGTATACAACTAAAATCTGAGAATAAGTAAAATTTAAGAAGGAGAAGATACCAATACTTTACTAATTATATTCTTTGAGACAATAGTTTCACTGATGATGTTATAGAAAATACATTTTATAAACAAACAAGTTTGGAAATCACTGTGTAAACTAATTTATGTAGATTTCAGTGTTTCAGAATTTCACAGTACATTTTGTATTAATTAAATTTTTAATCTTCATAAAGAGGTTTATACATAAAATTTCTTACATTTTTTTGCAGGATCATCTCCTGATAAGTATTTTGACTAACCATCGTTTATAATTTTTGTAGCTATATTAGACTAGACAATTGTTCTTGTGTTTTAGGATCAAAAGTTAAAAAGCTATCACATTTTATTACGGAATAAAAAAACAAAAAATGATCATTTTGTCTTAAATATTTTAATAAATTAATTCTATATATCTAATTTAGCATTGTATAATATGTTATTGCAAATAAGAATGACATAAGCAATAATTAGAAATTACTTTTATTGTAAAACCTGATCATAGCAGATACACCCCAAAAGATAACAATTTTGATTCTCAATCATTTTCAATATTAATGACTAATCTAATTATTAGTGTTTTAACATGGCAGTTCATTCAGTACTATTGAAATTTTATCTTAAATATCTCTGTTCAATATTTCTATTAAGCATTTGCGTGTTAAGTACAAAATCAACTTTCTCAAACATTGCTAATATATGAATATTCACAATATTAATATAAATAAACATGAACAAATTAATATTAGCAATATTAATATAAAACAAATATCCTAATCCAAAAAGAAAATGAAGCCTCCTTCCGGGCATTTCAGTTCCTTTTTTTCTTTTCCTTCATTATAATTTCTTTACATTTTTCTCTTCTTCTGATATAGATGAACATTACATTACAAATGCTGTATTTATATTGAAATACATTAACTGCGCAGAATGTAAAAGAAGGTGTTAACCATTAGGACTAGCTATAAAATAGGTCTAATTTGAAGTTAAGTTATTTATGCATTTTTGCAGGTCTCTTACTGTTAATGAAATTAAGTCATTTTTTGAATTTCTCTTCGCTTATTATGAACTTGATAAAGATGAGCAGAATGGTTTTGTATGGAAACTGCTCATGTGGAGTTTGAAAATGCTAATTCTCAGAGAAGCTTGTGATACAGTTTAGACTCGATTGAATCTTTTGTCTTTCAGTCCACTTTCTTCTCCACCTCATCATTTCATTATTGAAGTTGGATAAAATACTTGACTTTTCTATTTACTGTGCCTCTCTAATTTTTTTTCCTCATTTCAACTTGTGATTGTTTACTCCCTTTGACTTTAGACAGTGATTCTGTTTCTTCATATCAACTATAACGATCTTGAAAGGTCCTTCTATTCTCCCAAGTCCTAAATATTGAAGTTTCCAAGTTCTATTCTTAGGTCATTTTTTTAATATTATATTCTATTCAGAGGTTGTTTCATTAACAAGTATAATTTTAACCAGCATCCTGGGTAAAAAGTTGGCTTTTAAGCCAGAAATAGCTGGGTTTGAATATTTAACTTCACTTCTAGCTATGTGACTGGACAAGATGCTTGATTACCTTCTACCTAAACCTCTCCTTCCTTGCATATCGATGAAAAAAAATTAAAGGAAGCTTGCTAATTGTAGTAATTGTCTGCTAAATTATCTGTCCAGCAACTTCTCTTCTATACTATGACATTTCCCCCATTTCCCCACTTCATCATCTCAATATCTCAGTTGAAGGTATCAACACCTTCCCAGTTACAAAAGTCACATGAGAAAATTACATGAGTATTTGTCTAGCCAGCCCTTCTCCAGACAGAACAAAGACTCCACTGCCGATCCCTCTGATGTGTGGCTTCTGGCAATTGATCATTGCTCTGCAATTCTTTACACTACTGAAACTCTCATTTCTGCAAAGCAAAAATGTAAGGCAACTATGTCAAAACAGTTTCTAAAAATTCAAAACATACAGATACTAATCTCAGAGCTAGCAGACTCTAATCTCAAGCATAATTACAATTTTTTGATAGTTTATAGTGCTAAAATTTAAATGCAAATTTAAAAAATATTTAGTAAAGAGAAATACTCCTACAGTAATTCAGAGAAGTGAAATATGTGTAGCCACAAGTTAGTGCTGCCTTTTTTAACTATCTAAGCTGCCCAACAGTCTCGCAAGCTCAGAAAAATGATTTTTATCAAGTCAGCAAGAGCAGCTTTATCTTTCTCAGGCAATCTGAAAAGTAAGAGTTATAGCCTTCTTTAAATAATTCAAAGGAATTCCTTGAAATTCAAGTCAGAAGTGCAAATATAAATATCTGAAATGAGATGTCATAAAGCTTTTCATTTGCATTCTTGGTTTGGACAATTCATGAGCGACTAGGTTGGTCTATGGCATTGTAATTTACAACTTTGCGGTGGCACAAATTTTAATCATACACATGATGGAAGTCACATGGAGGGGAGGCATTTATTTGGGGTATGATCACAGCTTGCTACACAGCATCAAGAGTTCAGCGCAGTTTCCCTCAACTTCATTTGTGTCTGCTCCTTTAATAACATTAATGTGGGTCTGAAAGAGCTCACCTAAATTTTTCATTTGTAGTTTGTATGTATAGAATTTGGAACTTGGAAACTCAGGAAGAGGCTTATAAATTTTCAGTTTCTAGAAAGATAAGAATTAAATAAACCTGTCTCCAAAAATAAACAAATATTCTAACCAGATCGTTATAACATGATAATTTCAGATGAAGCTGTAGTGTGGTAACTCCTATAAATAGAAGACTATATATTGTTATATAATAATATTAGTTATAAAATATATAAGAAGAACAGAAATAAGGGTATAAAAGCTTTTGGAATATTTTTCTCTGGCCTTAGCACTGAAAATTAAATTCTCTATCAAAAACAGCTTTTGGTGTTTCTCACTATATATAAATATTGAGATCTCCAGAATGATGTTCATCAAATATAAATTACAGTTATTTCTGGGTGATGTAATTTTGGGTGACTTAAAATATTTTCCTTTTTCTAATTATTTTATTTGATTTGCAAATGGCAATGCACTGTATTTTATTTAAATTATAGACAATTGCATATGAATTTGGTTCTAATATCTTTAAAATATTGTACTAGACATTCTAAAGATGATTAATTTTTATGATGTGTTTTTATCATACTCTAACCACAATAGCAAGCCCAGGTTTCAAGTCAATTGCATTTAACAATGTTTCTTGACTGGGATTGGAGCAGGAAGAAAATGCCCTTCATAAATTATTTTTTTCTATTTCTATAACATCCCCTCTCAAGATATAGCTAGATTTATAATGTAATCACAGCCTTGCTTCACACCATGTATTTTATATCGGTTTTCATCTTTTGATAGATAATTTATATAATCAGAAAATATTTATTACATTTAAATTTATCATTATTGTTATTATTTCTATCTTTCTTTTCTTTTTTTTTTTTCTTTTTTTTTTTTTTTTTCAGAGGCAAGGTCATACTCTGTGGCCCCGGCTGGAGGGCAGTGACATGATCATGTTTCACTGCAGCCCTGAACTCCAGGGCTCAAATGATTCCTTCTGCTTCAGCCCCTTGAATAACTGGGGCTACAGGCACATGCCACCATGCCTGGCTAACGTTTTTGTTTTTTGTTTTTTGTTTTAATTTTTTGCAGAGACAGTGTCTTGCTGTGTTGCCTAGGTTAGTCTCTAGCTCCTGGACTCAAGTGATCCTCCTGCTTCAGCCTCCCATAATGCTAGGATTACAGGTATGAACCACTGTGCCTGGCCTTATTATTTGTGATAATGATTCCTAATAATAACAGTGACTTCAATTTGTTTATAATTTATGCACCAGCTTTGTATTACCTCACAGGTGTGTCTACATTTTATGACTGAGGAATGTAATGATTATAGGATTCAGTAATTTGACAAATGTACTCAAATAATAGATGATATAAAAATCAGGATTTAAGTCCAGGTCTACTTGACTCTTGCATGTGTTACTATTTTAATAGTATCTTCTGAAATTAAAATAAAATAGTTAAGCTATGTTAATCTTTTTCTGTGTATTAGACTTTATCTCAGTGAATAATTTCCTTTAATCCATACAAATATACATGGTAGATAGTATTATTGTCAAGTTTTTACAGATAAAAATCATTACATAATGTGCCCAAAGTCAAACAACTAGTATTTCCAATAAAGCTTGTTGATATCCAGCTACCCACTCCTTCAGGGCTCTCACCACAAGACCATTAGGATGGAAAACACTTCCCTGATTTTCCTACCAAAGAGCTTCCATTAGAAGAGATTATGTTTTATACAGACCTGGAATAGAAGTCACTATTCTGTAGAGAAAACTATGGGCAGGTGTATGGATGTCTTCAGACATTAGACATGGAGTTTTGCTTGCAGTAATAGAGTCTTTTTCTGAAAAAATTACAGACTTAATTCTAGATATATATTATTAGTGCTTCTCCTCTAAAATAGTACATAAAATTTAAAAGTTCTGTATGCCAAAATGACAATAACAATCACCACAACAAAAGTTCTGAGTGTAATTTCAGGTTATACTTTAAAAATCAATGTATTCATTTTCTATTGATGCTGTAATAACATATCACAAACTTAATAGCTTAAAATGCCAAAATGTTACAGTTCTGAACATCAGAAGTCAGAAATGTCATACCAGTAAAAGCCAGGTGTTGGTAGAGCTGCATTCTTTCTGGATTGTCCATGGGAAAATTATTTTTTTTTATTTTTCCAGCTTCTAGAAGCTCCACATATTTTTTGACTTTTCCATTTTTCATCTTCAAAGCCAAAAATGGACACTTGCATTAATTTGATACAGACCTTCTTCTGCTTTCTACTTCCACTTATGAGAAACTCTGTGATTAGGACTTAGGACTTCATGGGTAATTCAAAATAATCTACTCTCCTCAAGGTCACTTGATTAGAAACTTTAATTTCATCTGTAACCTTAATTTTCCTTTGCTATGTGACTTAATATATTCATAGGTTCTAGGGATTAGGGTACTAACATCTTCAGAGGGCCATTATTCTGCCCAATACAACTGAATATTATAGTAGACCAAAGATTAATTAAGGTTTCAGATTAACAACCTTTAACTTGGTGGCTATGACTACTGTGGTCTTGTGTTTGAGAAAATATACCCAATTTGTTCAAGGAAATAATGTATTTGCTGTAGCAGTTGTTGTGGTAGTACTCATTGTGATGACAACTGTGTCAGTGTTTGGTATTTCTTGGGATTTCAGTATTATTTTGAATATAGAATTAAGTATTCAGTTTCCAGAGTTTCACTTTTATAACATTGTTTCTAACAAGGAAAATTTTGTCCTTTTAAGGAAAAGTCTATTTTAAAAGTTAACAATATTTGGGGATAAGACACATTCTGAATCCCATTTTAGAGCAATTTACACCTATTAGAATGTGTTGAACTGAAAAAGTGAGCATCCAAATTTGTAGTGCATCAAATGAAAATGTTTCCTGTATCTCAATATTTCAAGGCTGAAAATGCTGCTCAGGTCAACTAAATTTTACCACATATATGGCTAATTAAATGCAGAAATCCACCAGTGGCAAGGTATCTAATACTGATTTCTGTTTCATCTATAAGGTACATCATTTAAACTAAATAGAAACTAGGAAAGGGAGTGCCCCAAGAATGTCTATAAAATTAATAACCATTCTACTAAGGAAATTATTTTCTCTTCTGCCACTCCCAATCCATGCAAGCACATGTCTCGGCATGAGACCAGAGTACTTGTAGCCTAGCACTTGAGATTCTAATCTCTGCTCTGCCACTTTCTCATTGCCTGAATTTAACAGTCAGTTTCCTTATCTTTAAAATAGAGGTAAAAATATGAACTTTCTGTCATCAGGAGAATTAAATTACATGAATTAATCATCATAAGTATGTATTGAGGGCTTACTCATTGATGGGTATTCTTCTACGTGTGAAGGATATGGCAGTGAGCAAATAAAACAGATTCGTTGTCCCAAAAAGCTTGAATTCTTGTGGTGGGAGACGGGTGACATACCAATATGTAATTAAAGTGTATGGTGTATCTGTATCTTATGGTAATTAAGTGCTAAGGAGGAACCATGGAAGGGGAATGGGGAGTGCAAAGGTGTGGTCAATGACTACCTCATTGAGAAGGAGACATGTGGCAAAGACCTGAAGAAAATGAGGGAGCTAAATATGCCGTTACCTGGAGAACAAGATGAGTCAAAGGGGAGTGAATATGCAAACGTCTGAAGCGGAAAGAAGCACGCCATTTCTAAGAACACAAAGTAGACAAGCATAATTGAAGCAAGGAGAGGTAAAGGGAGAGTGGCAGAGGTAAATGTGGAGAAGTGGATTTGCACCAGGGCAGAAAGGCCCTGGGGCTCATATTAAAATATTCCTTTTGCCCTAAAAGCAAAGGGAAGCGGTTGATAGGTAACCATGGTGGTGATATCATTGTATTTGTGTTTTTATTATAAAGCCCTTCAATTTATTTAAGGAGAACAGATGGAGAAGAAGCAAAAATTGAGGAGATTGAGGAAGACAGAATAATTTGTGGTCTTCTATTGTGGTGCTCTAGATGAACCATAACAATGGCTTGTACAATAATGATGGCAGAAGAGATGAAGAACAGGAGATGAAGTCAAGAGAATTTAGGACCTAGAACCAACAAGATGTGGTGACACATTAGATCAGGACAAACTACTGTCAAAACTAACCCCCAAAACTTTGCCATGAACTGCTGGGTGAATGGTAGTGTTATATTCCAAAATAAAAAGAAAGGGTGAGGAGCTAGTATGGCAATTAAAATTGAATTGGAAAGGTGAGCAAGATCATGAGTTCAGTTTTTTTAATGTTTACATTTAAGGCACTTGTGAGATGTCCAAAGAATTCCTGTATAAAAGGAGATGAATGCATGAATGTGAAGACACAACAGGGATATGGGTTGGAGCTTAAACTTGTTGAAATTTAAGGTGACAGCACCCAGAGAATCAGTGTCATTAGGATAAACCAGGCTTCATCCTGGCTGAGGAAACATTTGAAAATTTGAAGATCTGGGCATTTACTGACTGCAGAGCTAGAATGTTTTGTCTCAGGTTAGGAAGTGGAGAAATAAAGATCTGTGACAGGGAAAAGAATCAGGGAGCTTTTGGAAAATGTAGAATGCCTCTAAGTTCAAGTTACATATTTCTGCTCTCAACTATTCTGCATTGATTTCTGAGATAATCTTACTTCCAAATTCTTAGTATTTGGCTTATAACCTCTGAGTATTGCTAATAAGTTTCATATCTTAACTAAATACATGACATAAAATTTAAGGGTAAACGTCATTAAATCTTATGCTTCTAAAATTATTTTCCAAAAGAATTATCATATATTGTTATTGTGACATTTTTGCATATTTTATTATACTTGTGTATTTCAAGTGTAAATTTCACCTAAGTGAGCTATCATTTTTCCCTAACTTACTAATAAGAAATATAATAACAGTTGATGATAAGTACAAACTCTGCATGATAATGAGATTAAGTACAGTAATACATGTTTTATCTTATGGTTAACCTATTTTATTGTCTCATTTTTAAAGTAAAATGATGCTAGCAAGTGGTTATTTCATACTGTTAATATTCATATCAAAATAAAACCAATATTGATATCTATAATAAAGAGAAAGTTACATCAAAGAACCTTACAACGTATTTTAATACTAAAGTGACATGAAAGATCATGAATAAAATATCATGTCACGGGGTAAAATCTTAACCAAACAGATGGCAGAAACATAAGTGAGAAATAAAATCTGAAAAGCTCTAGTTGGTTAAGGGAATAATTATAAGATAAAAGAACTAATAATGTCAAGTCCTACATGATATGTCAAGTTAAAGAAAATATATATACAGCTATCCAGAGAATTTTTATTATTATTGAAATAACTAAGAATGTAACAAAGAGATATGAGAACAGACAAGTAAGAGAAGAAAAAAATTTCATTAAAGATACATTTTGGACAATTTCTCCAAACTTTAATTGGACCTGAAATATAAAGTACTATTTGATTAAAAAAAAGAAAAAAATTAAATTTTGAAATAAAACAATAAAAGTTAAAAAATATGAACACGCAACTGCAAACTGTAGTACTTGTTAATGGTGAGCTACTACCCATAATCTTAAGAGAGATTATGAAATGTTTCACTTATTGATTACTTTGTCACTTCCTTCAGTCTCTAGGATGTCAGTTGTATCTAGAAAAATAAAGCATACTATAGGCTAATAAAGTATTTTATTTCCCTTATGGTTATACAACTTATATGAAATTTGAAACTTATATTCATTAAAATTGTAATTACAAAGAAAGAAGCACCTCACTCTGCTCTGTAAGCTTTCAGAATGCTCAAAAGGTGACTCTCAACATTCCCCACTTTGTTGAACCAAAAGATCTCCCAGAGAGAGTTCTTCTCTCACCCCTTTGATGTAAGTAAAAAATAATATCATCAGGTAGGCTAAGTTAGACTCATTTTATTCCTAGAAGAGAGCACTAATGATACTAATTCATTTGCCCCTCCCTTATTTTCCATTTCTCCTCACCTACCATGACATTTTCAAATCTGTGCAAAAAGGAAAAAAAAAAAGGTAATTTTCTCATTATACTTATCATTTATTCTATTTTTTCTAAGATATTTCCCAGACAACCACTATTTCTATTTATGTCAAATAAAAATTTGCCATTGGGATGACTTAATAATCAGAAAAGAAACAACAGATTTAATTTCATGGTATAAATGGAGAAAATTAGAGAAAACAGAAATGTGCACAATTTTTACATAGCTCAGGTTTAATTTCCACATAACTGCCCCCTTATTTTTATATTTTCATGTTGTTCTAATCTATTTAACCTCAAATTATATGGATGGATGATTGATAGATAAGTAGAGTATAAATTAATTTTCCAAGAAGCATCTTGCTTAATATATATAAGATAATTTTTCTAAATATGAGCCCCAGTGAAATTAATACAGTGGAGGGAAGGAAGACCTTTAGTGCCAACAATGTGGCAAAAGACAGAAAGAAGAAGCCAAAGGGAAAGGATATAAAACTCAGAAGTCTTCCATCAGTTTTCCCCTCCTTGTGTGTGCCATTCCTCCATGGAGAGAGTCTATTCCTTCAACCCCAGCTCCATGAAACGGTTAGTTTGTAACTGTTTTTCTAGTTAAATCACTTCTTGACTCTTGGAGCTCTGGGTTTCCACAGAAGAAGTCCAAGCAACTCAAAATGTAGAGTGAGAACATGAGGATAAAATCTAAGACAACAAATGTAAGTAAAGACGTAATCTATTTCTAGCCAATCCAGTCTTCAAATTGATCCAGTGCCAACCTATATCTGACTGGCACCATATGACACACCCCCATGCAAGCTAATGGAACCATGAAAGATAAAATTGTTTTAAACCACAAAATCTGAGAATGAGTTTTTGTTTTGTTTTGCTTTATTTATTTTCTTTTTCTCACAGCAACAGATGAGCAAAACAACAAGTAACACTATTTTTCTTTGGGACTAAAACCAAGACATGTAGAGAGAAGATGAAACACAGAAGTCATGGGTAAGCAGTGGCAAAGGTTGGAAAGGAGAAAAACCACTGGTAGTGTCTGTATAAAAATGATAATAATAAAAAAAGGAGGATAAATGGCAAATTTAAAGCTGCCAATTCTCTAATGAGCCTCCTTTTTTTTTTCTTATGCTCTCTTACTTCCTTGTGTATTTTAATTCCTTTTATATACAATAAAGCGCATTGCCTGAGTTCAGTCTCTTGCAATCTGATCTAACAACCTAAGATGAAAAAGTCTATGCCCATCAAAGTTGGCTGCCAAAGCTGCTACAGTATAGAATCTATAAATCTCTACTGGAAATGCCCACATTCAAGTGTCAAGGAGACTTGAAAACAAACAAACCTAAATCATCTCTATGTGCCCAACTCTCACTTCTTTGCAATTCATAGAGGCCCACATCTCACAATAATCCTAAGATTGATCAGCGTTCAATGAGAGAAATGAATAAAAACATCTTCGGTATTTCCCTAGTTGGCTAAATTCACCAAATGTGGTGCCAATTTGCCAGGTTACATTTCGAAAGGCTCATAGCAGAATTATTCTTCAGGTGTGAATGAGGTATTAAAAAATTTCTATTCACACATATTAACCCTATAGAATAATTATAGAAACCTAGATTTGGGGTCTACTTTGTTGTGTTATATAAGTTAATATTAGACATTTACTGCTCAGGTGTTTGTAGTATTCTTCAACTTTCTGAATAGTCATACTGCAATGAAAAATGTACAAAACATGTAGTGAATAAAGCTTAGCAGTGGGAGGTAGTATGTTTGAAATTTATTTCTGCATGAAATTTTGCCAAACAACTTAATAGAACAATTTGCACTGCCAAAAACAGATAAGAATTCTCAAGTAAATATGAGATTATAGTTGTATTTTAGTATTTTATAGTCCTAATGCCATTTGTATAAGAAAAAAATTAGATACTTGAAGTATAATAAAAACATTTATTGTGTTTTAGGTATATTTTTTCTTTTCTTTCCATCTGAACAGATTGATACATTTGTCATAAGTCTAAGTAAGGTGTTTTCAAAATGTAATGTGATCACAGCTTTTTATTTAATGTGCTTTTTATGAGCAAGATATCATTATAAGAATATTGAAGATGGAAAAAAGGAGTAAAATAATTAGTCAAAAGAAACTTATAATCTACTAACAGATAATATACATAAACATTTGAATAACTTTATTTAAATTAAATATAAAAATTTTAGTTAAATAAATTAATTTGCTGATTATGCCTTTATATGGATAATTATTAAATGACAATAGTGATAATAATTGCAGAAAAATTTGAATTATATTTAAGAGGTTTTAAAAGATACATAAATTGGCCAGAAAATGTGATGAAACTGAGCATTCTGAAAATAAAGCCCAGGAGACAGCAGATTTAGATATATAGAGATACTTTTCAGTAAATGACTACCATGTGCCTAGTGGACTGGAAGTTCCATGCATGCTCTCAATAAACTGATTAAATAGGCCCCATCCTAACCCCTACTGTGTAGGCGAGGAAACTGAAGATTAGAGAGCTTAAGTGAGATGGTACAGTGTGTTGGTGATACGTGCGGTAGAGTCAGTTTTTTTTTATTTATTAGATATATGGCCTTGGGCAAGTTATTTAGCCTTCTGTTCCTTACATTCCTCATTTATAAAATGAGTAAGATGATACTACATAACTATTAAATGTTAATGAAGACAAATTAAGATGATATTTGAAAATTATTAGCATACCATGCGATCATCATTTACCAGTTGGTGAAATATGGATTCAGAAACAAATTCTGATTTCACATCCACTATCCTTAGCTCACTCTCATAGCTTCAGGATGCAGAGAGCCTCACATGATGGCTCTTTCACGATGGGCTAACAGTTTTAGACTTTAACTGTGTCACAAAGAAATGAAGAACTTTTCAAGTATGGTGAGAAGTAAATGAGGAATCATGACAGTGAAATCTGGGGACAATTTATCTGGAGGTAGTGTTTAGGGTGGATTACAGGATGAAGGTTTGAAGGCAGGGAGTCTAATTACAAATTGTTTTTAATGATACAAACGAGGTAATGAGGGTCTTCATTATGTGATCGTTGTTGTAAAGAAAAGGAGGGACAAAATTAATAAATGCCATTGTGCAAAAAATGGATGAGGTTGGATGGATGGGTGGAAGAAACTAAAAACAAATAAAAAATAATGTCAAAATTTTCAAGGGCCAGGCATGGTGGTGCACGCCTGTAATCACGGCACTTTGGGAGGCTGAGGTGACAGGGTCACTTGAGTCCAGGAGTTCAAGACCAGCTTGGGTAACATAGGGAGTTCCTATCTCTGCAGAAAAATTTTAAAATAGCTGGGTGTAGTGATGCTTGCCTGTAGTCCTAGCTACTCAGGAGGCTGAGTGGAGAGGATTGCCTGAGACCTGTAACTCAAAGCTGCAGTGAGCTATAACTGTCACTGCACTCCAGCTTGGGTGACAGAGTGAGACCCTGTCTCTAAAATAATAACAATAATTAATAGTAATAATACATGAATAAATAAAAATTCCAAGTCTCTGTCTATAGAATTGTGACTATGCAATGAAAGAAAGGAGGAGGAACTGTCTTGGGGGAAAGGTGAGAATAAATGTGCTCAGTGACCTGCAAACATTCTCTGATCTTAATTTTATGACTTATAGATGTTACATGTTCAATTTCTGATTGAGTGAGTTTCAGAAGACTAAAGCACATGCTAGTCTGACCATTTGTGTAACTTAAAGGGGGTTGTGGTGGAAAAGAACATGAAAATAAGTTTTCTTGAATACGTATGAAATACCCACAGTGGTATACATAAGAAGATGATACATTGCTTGTAGGACAAATGAATACTTAGTGCCAGGTGTCTGAGAGAATAGTTTCACTACTTATTTTTTTAATTTTTGAGCCATGTGACTATATTGCCATATAATAATACATTTTAAGAATTAAAAAGTATACCTTACCTCATAGGCAGATTAAAACATGAGTTTGAAATTGAGCATTAAAAAAGTATGGGGGTTGCTTATGTGATAGTTGTTCTCATTAGGAGGATACTTGAAACCAAAAGGATTAATAATATCATCAAGAGAGAACATGAAGCAAGAGACCAGCAGAAAACTATTGGCTGAATCTTGGAAAATGTCAAACTAATTTGGAATAAAATGACTTATAAAAAGAACATCTATCAGGATTTTATTGTATATTGTCATATGGTTTCAGAAACAAGTATATTTACATCTATTCTGCAGTTATTGCTGTTAAGATGATCTTTGTCCTAGATATAAAATTTAAGGGTATGGAGCGTGTTATGCTTATGTATTAACAATTTTTTCACATAATAAGACAAGGACTCCTTCAAGAAAAAATACACAGGAACTAAATATAAACCACCAAACATGTTTCTATTTAACTCATCTTATAAATCCCTCAAATATGGTAACTTTTTATTAAAATGTACATATAAAAATGCATGCAAATAGTAAACTACATGTAGAGCTAAAGAAATTTTTGCAAAAAGAATCCGTCTTTCTTGCTTGCTTGCTTTCTTGATTTTTGTCATTATTTATTTATTTATTTCAACTTTTATTTTAAGTTTTGGGTACAATGAATCCATATTTAAAACTAATAATGTAATCAAGAAAAATGTTACCAACACTCAGAAAGCACCTCTATGTCTCTCCAGTTACTACCTCCATGAAGGCTGTCAATCATGGCTTCTATCACAATTAGCTGGTCTTGCCTGTTTTTTTATCTTTATATACTTGGCATCATATTGTATGTTTGCTTTTGTATGTGACCTCTTTTATGGTAAAATTTACACTTTAGGTGTGCAGTTCTGCAAGTTTTGAGAAACTCATACAGCTGTGTAACTGTCACCAAATTAAAGATATAAAACTGTTCCATTATCTGAAAAGGTTTTTCTGTGGCCCTTTGTAGTAAAACACTTACCACACTCCATTCTCCTGATAACCATGGTCTAACTTCTGCCTCTATAGTCTTGCTATTATATAATGTTTTCAAAAAGAAATCATAAAGTTTTTGGCATTTGAATTTGGCTTCCTACACTTAGTGCAAGCCATTTGAATTTCATCCAGGATTTTACAGGTATCAGTAGCTCATTTCATTTATGGGTGTATAATAGTTTATTTTTTAAAATTTTAAATAGTTGCTTTATTAGAGCATATTATTATTATTATTATTATTATTATTATTATTATTATACTTTAAGTTCTGGGATACATGTGCAGAAAGTGCAGGTTTGTTACGTTGGTATAAATGTGCCATGGTGGTTTGCTGCACCCATCAACTCATCATCTACATTAGGTATTTCTCCTAATGCTATTGCTCCCCTTCCCCGCAACATCCCGACAGGCCCCGGTATGTGATGTTCCCCTCCCTGTGCCCATGTGTTCTCATTGTTCAGCTCCCACTTATGAGTGAGACCATATGGTGTTTGGTTTTCTGTTCCTGTGTTAGCTTGCTGAGAATGATGGTTTCCAGCTTCATCCATGTCCCTGAAAAGGACATGAGCTCATTCTTTTTTATTGACAAATGGGATTTAATTAAACTAAAGAGCTTCTGCACAGCAAAAGAAACTGTCATCAGAGTGAACAGGCAACCTACAGAATGGGAGAAAAATTTTGCAATCTATCCATCTGACAAAGGGCTAATATCCAGAAAATACAAGGAGCTTAAACAAATTTATAAGAAAAAATTATCAAAAACTGGGCAAATGATATGAACAGTCACTTTTCAAAAGAAGACATTTATGGAGCCAGCCAGCATATGAAAAAAAGCTCATCATCACTGATCATTAGAGAAATACAAATCGAAACCACAATGAGATACCATCTCACGCCAGTTAGAATGACAATCATTATAACATCAGGAAACAACAGATGCTGGAGTGGATGCGCAGAAATAGGAACACTTGTACACTGTTGGTGGGAGTGTTAATTAGTTCAACCATTGTGGAAGACAGTGTGGCGATTCCTCAAGGATCTAGAACCAGAAATACCATTTGACCCACCAATCCCATTACTGCGTATATACCCAAAGGATTGTAAATCATTCTACTATAAAGACACATGCACACATATGTTTATTGCAGCAGTATTTACAATAGCAAAGACTTGGAACCAACCCAAATGTCCATCAATGTTAGACTGGATAAAGAAAATGTGGCACATAATGGCTTATTTATGGATCACCTAGTTGAGAGACATTTGGGTGGTTTTTAGGTTTTGGCAATTAGGAATAAAGCCACTAAAATATTTTACACATAAATTTTTTCCTGTGAACACATGCTTTTGTTTAAGTTGGATAAATACATGGAAATGAGATAGCTAGGTCAGATAGCAAGTGAACACTTAATTTTTAAGATTTGCAAACTCCTATCCAAAGTGGCTGTGCTATTATTTCCTTCCCCTAAACACATCCTTTTTTTTTTTTTTTTTTTTTTTTTTGAGACAGAGTTCACTGCAACCTCCACCTCCTGGGTTCAAGCGATTCTCCAGCCTCAGCCTGCTGAGTAGCTGGGATTGCAGGCACCTGACACCA
The DNA here is from genome assembly GCF_000001405.40 of Homo sapiens. Classification (NCBI taxonomy): domain Eukaryota; kingdom Metazoa; phylum Chordata; class Mammalia; order Primates; family Hominidae; genus Homo; species Homo sapiens. The sequence continues at coordinate 164,971,809 of NC_000003.12, forward strand.
TGCCCGGCTAATTTTTGTATTTTTAGTAGAGACTGGGTTCTAAACACATTTTAAAATTTATTTACTTTGTAATTTTAATGGATATGTAATATTTGGATATATTTATGGAGTTCTTGAGATATTTTGATACAGGTATGCAATGTGAAATAACCACATCCAGGATAAATGGTGTATTCAGCACCTGGAGCATTTATCCTTTGTGTTATAAACAATCAAATTATACTCTATTAGTTATTTTCAAATGTATAATAAATTATTATTGACAGTCATTCTGTTGTGCTATCAAATAGTAGATATTATCTTTTTTTTTCTAACTATTTATTTTTACTCGTTAACTATCCCCACTTCCCCTCGACCAGCCGCCTACCACCCTTCCCAGTCTTGGTAACCATGGTTCCTCTCTCGACTTCCAGAAGTTCAATCGTTTTAATTTTCAGCTCCCCAAATAAGTGAAAATATGTGAAGTTTGTCCTTCTGTGCCTGGTGTATTTCACTTAATATAATGTTATTCAGTTCCATCCATGTTGTTTCAAATGACAGGATCTCATTCTTTTTTACGGCTAAGTAATACTCCATTATGTATATGTACCACGTGTTCTGTATTTATTCGTCTGTTGTTGGACATATGGCTTGCTTCAAATCTTGGTTACTGTGAATAGTGCTGCAATAAACATGGGAATGCAGATATGTCTTTGATTTGTTTTCTTTTGGGTATATACCTAGCAGTAAGATTGTTGAATTGTGTGAGAGTTCTATTTTTACTTTTTTGAAGAAACTCTATATTGTTCTCTATACTGGCTGTACTAATTTACATTTACATGAATAGTGTAAGAAGTTTCCCCTTTTTTCACAACCTCACCAACATTTGTTATTGTCTGTCTTACTGGGATGAGATATCTCATTGCAGTTTGGATTTGCATTGCTTTGATGATCAGTGATGCTGAGTACATTTTCGTATGCCTGTTTGCCATTTGTACACCTTCTGAGAAATGTCCATTCAGGACTTTTGCTCATTTTCATCAGATTACTAGATTTTTTCCTATTGTTTGAGATTCTTATACAACCTTGTTATTAATCCCTTGTCAAATGGATAGTTTGCAAATATTTTGTCCCATTCTATGAATTATCTCTTTGTTGATTGTTTGCTGTGCAGAATCTTTCTAACTTGACATGGTCCCATTTGTCTATTTTTTATTTTGATTGCCTGTGATTGTGGGATATTGCTCAAGAAATCTATGCCCAAAGTCCTAGGGAATTTCCCCAATTTTTTCTTTTAGTAGTTTTATTATTTCAGGTCTTAGATTTATGTCTGTAATTCAGTTTGATTCAATTTTTTATGAATGAGATTATGTCTTTTGCAGGAACATGGATGGAGCTAGAGGCTATTATACTTAGCAAACTAATGCAGGAACAGAAAATCAAACACCACGTGTTCTCACTTATAAGTGGGAGCTAAATGATGAGAACTCATTAATACAAATAAGGGAATGACAGACACTGAGCCCATCTTGAGGGTGGAGGGTGGAAGGAGGCAGGAGATGAGAGAATGAGAAAAAATAACTATTGGGTACTAAGTTTAATATCTGGATGATGAAATAATCTATTCAACAAACCCCCATGACATGAGCTTACCTATATAACAAACCTGCACATGTACCATTGAACCTAAAATAAAAGTTAAAAAAAGAAAATACTTTGAGATGAATGAGAATAAAGGCAAAATATAAAATTATGCTTATGGGAGTCTGTTACAACTATGATTAGAAGGGAATTGATACCTGTAAATATCTATATTATTTTTAAGAAAAGAATAAATACTTTGAATAAATTATCTAACATTCCATCTTATTATGTTGAAAAAGGAGAGAAAAACTAACCTCAAAGCATACCAAAATAAAGAGATAATGAAGAGTGGAATGTAAGTGGAATAAAGAGTAAAAAATGGAGAAAAATGTTTTGAAAAAATTAAAAAGCTGCTTCTTTTAAACTTCAAAAAGTTAACGAATCTATAGCTAGATTGACCAAGAAAGAAATAGAGAAGACTCAAATTGGTATCAGTGGAAGATATATGAGTTATTTCAAGTTATTGGCGGCCTATCCTTTCAAATCCATAACTTCAGTCTTGCCTCCACAGAATAAATAATTCAAGTGAGGGGCATAAAGCAGAAAGAGACTGAGGAAAGTTCCAGAGCAGGAATAGAAGTTTATTGTAAAAGGCCTTAGAACAGAAAAGAAAGAAAGGCGTGCTTGGAAGAGACCCAAGTTGGCACGTGAATGTTAAAGAGAGAAGGTCAAGTGCCCTGTTTAACTATAATCCTAGGACTTTTAAGAGCTCGCCTCTTTCCCATGATTCTTTCCTTAGGATGGGCTTTCCGCATGCTTTGGAATTGAGAAAAGCCTTCCTTACCCTTTGGAATTGAGCATGTGCATCATGTTTAGGGAGTTACATAAATCCCCATCTGAGGCTTTCTTCCCTTTTCTGGTGGAGTGTGCCACCAGAAGATCATACTTTACTATTTTTGTCTCTTAACATGTGTGCCCAGGAAGTTGCTTCTTCCTGAGGTCTGCATTCAATTAACATTTTGATGTTAACAGGTGTGGACCATCAGGAAATTGTCTCTCCCTGGCACTGCCAAATTATTTTTAGAGAGGTAATTTGATAATTGCCGAACCATCATCTGACATTCTAGTGGGTTGGGAGGGAGCTCTTTCCTGCCCTGCTCATGCCTAGCTACCTGTAACAAAATTACTAAACTCAAGAAGGAAAAAGGGGGCATAACTACTGACATTATAGCAAGAAAATAATTAAAAGGAAATACTAAGAACAACTATTTCTCCACTATTTGCCAACCTCTCGATAACCTAGATGAAATGGATAATTTTCTAGAAAGACAAAAGTGACAAAAGCTGACACAAAAAGAAAAAGAAAATCAGAGTAGACCTCGTATTAGTACATTCTCATGCTGCTATTACAGACATAACCGAGACTGGGTAATTTATAAAGGAAAGAAACTTAATTGGGTCGCAGTTCAGCATGGCTGGGGAGGCCTCAGGAAACTTACAGTCATGGTGAAAGGGGATGCAAACACATCCTTCTTCACATGGTGGCAGAAAGAAGTGTCGAGCAAAAGGGGGACAAGCCCCTTATAAAACCATCAAATCTCATGAGAACTCACTCACTATCATGTAGCAGCAACATGGAAGTAACTGCTCCCATGATTCAATTACCTCTCACTGGGTCCATCCCATGACACATCAGGATTGTGGGAACTACAAGTCAAGATGAGATTTGGGTGGGTACACAGCCAAACCACAACAGACCTATAAGCTGTAACAAGTAAGAAGTAAGATAGTAATAAAAATGTTGCCCTCAAAAAAAAGCTCAGGCCTAGATGGTTTCATTGGTGAGTTCTACCAAACATTTGAACAAATAATACCAAATCTGCTATCATTTGTGTGTTTTTCCATTCCAAACTCATGTTGCAATTTAATTCCCGATATAGCAATATTGAAGTAGGACCTTTAAGAAGTGATTTGATCATGAAGGCAGAGCTCTCAGAATGGATTAACCTATTTATCGAGTAATGGATTAGTGGGTTATCATGGGTGTGATACTTGTGGCTTGATAAGCAGAAGAGAGACAGGAGCCAGCATGCTTAGTCCTCTTCCCACGTGATGCTCTGTGCTACCTCAAAACTTCAGAGTCCCCACCAGAAAGAAGACTATAACAATATGCCGCTCATTGATCTTGGAGTTGTCTGCCTCCACGAATGGAAGTAGTAAATTTATTTTCCTTATAAATTACATAGTTTTAGATATTCTGTTATAAACCATGACTAATTTGGGTTTCTCCCAGGAATACGATTGTTTAGCCTCTGATAAACAACCAATGTAGTACACCATATTAATAGACTAAAGAACAGAAACCATATGATAATCTGAGCAGATACAGAAAATTCACTTGACAAAAATATCTTAAACTTTTATGGAAAAATACTCAATAAATTAGGAAAAGAAGGGAAATTTGTCAACCTGATAAAGGACACCTACAAAACAAAACAAATGCTAATAGTTATCATACTTAATAATGAAAGTCTGAATATTTTTCCCTTCACAGGAGGAATAAGACAATGATATATATTCTTACCACTTCTATCAATATTGAAATGAAGTAAAAGTATCTCTATTTGCCGAAGTCATAATCTTTTTTTGTAGAAAACTCTATTACTTCCAAGAAAACTGTTGTAACTAATAATATATAAAAATCAATTGTATTCATATACACTAGCAGTACATAATCTGAAAATGAAATTAAAAGACTATTTTACAGCAGAATTAAAGTGAATAAAATATCTTAGACTAAAATTAACAAAAATAAATTGAAGATTTATATACTGAAAACTACGAAACACTGTTGAAAGAAGTTTAACACTTTTAAATAAGTTGAAATCCATCTTATGTTTATGGACGGGAATGCCTAATATTGTTAAGATGGCAGTACTCCCCCTACTGAGCTAAAGATCAACACATACTCTGTCAAATCCCACCTACTATTTTTATAGAATTTTACAAGTTGATTCTCAAATTCATAAAAAAATCAAGAGACACAGAATAGGCAAAACTATTTTGAAAAAGAACAGAATTGGAGGACTTGTACTTGCTGATTTCAAAACTTAACCACAATGCCAGAGTAATCAAAATAATGTGGTACTAGCATAAAGGTGGACATACTGTTCAGTTGAATAGAATTGAGAGTTTTTAAATAAACCCATTAATTTATGGTCAATTGATATTTAAAATTGTGTTTATAATTCACACCATAATAATTGTACATGTTTATGGAGTACAGAGAGATATTTCAATACATATATACATTGTATAGTGATCCAATCAGGATAGTTAGCATGTTCATCACCTCAAACTTTTATTTCTTTGTAGTGGTAACTTTCAAGATCTTCTTTTCTAGCAACCTTGAAACATGCAGTTGATTATTATTGGCTATATTCACTCTACTACCTGATAGCACACTAGAACTTATTCTTCCTATCTAACTGTAAGTTTGTACCTGTTGTCCTATCTCCCTTCATACCCCCTTCATTTCTCCCATTCCTAGCCTCTGATACCCACTATGGTACTCTTCATTTTTATGAGATAAGCTTTTTGTTTGTTTGTTTTATCTTAATAAGTGAGATTATCGAGTATTTGTCTTTCTCTGCCTGATTTATTTTACTTAACATTGTGTCCTCCAGGTTCATTCATGTTTTCACAAATGACAGGATTTCATTCTTTTTCATAGCTGAATCATATTCAGTTGCATATATATACCATCTTTTCTTATCCATTCACCCATTATGGCCATATAGGTTGATTCATTCTCTTGGCTATTTTGAATAGTGATGCCATAAACAAAGGGGTACAGATATCTTTTCGACACACTGATTTCAATTTTTTTGGACAACCAGTAATGAAATTGCCAAATCATTTTGTAGTTCTACTTTTAGTCTTTTAAGGACCTTCCATACTGTTTTCCATAATTGCTATACTAATTTATATTCCCACCAACAATGTAAAATGTCCCTTTATTATGTATCCTTGCCAGGATTTGTTATTTTTTGTCTTTTTTATAACAGACATTCTAACTCAGGTGAGATAATATCTCCTTGTGGTTTTCATTTGCATTTTCCTGATGATTAGTAATGTTGGACATTTTGTGATATATCTGCTGGCTATTTGTATGTATTCTTTTAAGAAATGTGTATTCAGGCCTTTTGCTCATTTGTAAATTGGATTATTTGTTGTTTTGGTATTGAGTTGTTGGAATTCCTTGTATATTTTGGATGTGGACCTCTTGTCAGGTGCATAGTTTGCAAATATTTTCCCTCATTTTGGGGAATATCTTTTCACTTTACTGATTGCTTTCTCTGCTATAAAGATAATTTTTAGTTTGATACCATTATATTTGTCTCTTTTTGCTCCCATTGGCTGTGCTTTGAAGGTTCTATCCAAAATTTCTCACTCAGACCAATGTCATAAAGTATTTTTCCTATGTTTCCTTCAAGTAGTTTCATAGTTCAACTCTTTAAGTCTTTAATTATTTTGAGTTCATTTTTATATATGCTGAGAGATATGAATCTGGTTTTATTCTTCTGCCTGTGGATAGCCAGTGTTCCCACCACTATTTACTGAAGAGACTGTCTTTTCCTCAATGTGTGTTCTTGGCGCCTTTGCCAAAGATCAGTTGGCTCTAAATGCACGAATTTATTTCCAGACTCTATTCTGGTCCATTGGTCTGTGTGTATTTTTTTTTTTTTAATGTCAGTACCATGCTCTTTTGGTTACTATAGCATTGTAGTATATTTTGAAGTCAGGTAGTGTAATGCCTCTAGCTTTATTCTTTTTACACAAGATTGCTTTGGTTATTCTGGGTCAATTGTGGTTCAATACAAATTTTAGGAATGCTTTATCTATTTCTGTGAAGAAAGTTACTAGTATTTTGATAGAGATTGCATCAAATATGTAGATCACTTTGGGTAGTATGAATATTTTAACTTATTTTTGTATTCAATTTATAAGCATGGGATATCTTTCCACTTATTTGTGTTTCCTCAATTTTTTTCATCAATGTTTTCTAGTGTTCCTTATACATATTTTACCCCTGCTTGAGTAAACTTATTCCCAGAGATTTTTTGTTGGTGGTGGTGGTGTGATTTTTATGTGTGTGTGTGACTATTGTAAATGGGATTGTTTTCCTTTTTCAGATAGTTCATTATTGGCATATAGATATTCTACTAAATTTTGCATGTTGATTTTGTATCCTGCACCTTAGTGCTCTTATAAAAAGAGACATGAGAGAGTTTTCTTCCTCTCTCTCTGCCATATGAGGATACAAAAAGATAATTGTCTGTAAGCCATAAAGACTGCCACCATCAGCAGTGGATCTGCTAATGTCTTGATATCAGGCATCCCAGCTTTCAGAACTGTAATAAATAAATGTTTGTTGTTTAAGCCACCCAGTCCATGATAAATTGTTATAGCAGTGCAAGCTAAGACAATTTCCATTAGGAAAATAAAGACAAAATGCACATTTTATACACTTACATTTTTTATTCTCTTTTTCTAATTAAATGCACATACTAAGAAGTAATTAAATCTTCAAATAATTGTTGTTACATATCTTAAATCTGCTAAACATTGAGAAAAATATAGTATATATAATTACATAAAAATTTTATTTAATTTAAAAATCACGTTTAAATTATATCTTAGCTATTTACATACATGTTTAGTAACTAGTTTACAATTGTAGCTGATACTTAACAAGGATAAATAGGGCTATTCAAATTTTGTTAAATATGCCTTAAAATTGAATCCAAGTCACATTACTATAATAAAATTAGCATTATCATTGATGTACGCTACAAAATAACTTTTCGATGTTATGAAAGCTATATTTTGTAGAGTACAAGAACCAAGTGAAGAGGGAAAATTGTAAGTGCTGTGAAACTTAAATCCTGGTGTTTTTTCCCATTGACAACTAAAATTGATGGTGATCTTCATGACCAGTTGATTTCTATTGGTTCTTCTAGAGTAACATTGTGTGTGGTCAGATCAATACGTAATATCTAAAAAAGTAAAATAATAATTAGTTGTTTAATCACAACCACATTTTTCTTATTTTCATGAATGCTATTTCAAAAAAGTTTTCTAATAAATAGTATATACCTTTATTTTCTTTTATATCTTGAGAAATTTTTACTCTCAGAAAGTTTGCAACCATTTCAGCAACAATTTCACCCAACCTATCCATTTTACCTAAGGTTAAAATAAATCTCAGAAAGGTGAAGTTGCTGTCAAAAGATACTGAAAAACCCAAAACTCTCAGCCAATTTTATTGATTTCTATGACTTTACTCTTTTCACATAATTTTGAAATATGGAGTTATTTATAACTGCACCGCATGAATCTCAATGCATCCCTTTGTCAAGTATTATCCAGTCATTTTCAGCCAAAGTTTAGATTTAAAAGTGTTATTTTAACTCAATCAAAAAAGATTTTATGATGCTTCATTTATTGCCAATGATTCAATTTTGCATGTGTTACTTTATTTCACTGGAGATAATCTAAAGTAGACTCTAGAGAGATTATTATCTCTATCATGGAGATTATTAAGTTGCTGTAGTCAAATGATCTTCTGTCATAGTTTTATGATATGACGATTTCAGGAGACTTTACCATTGCTCCTTTTTGTCCAATGAACTGATAAGATTTTCTGTGCTTTAGCTCAGAAAGTTTGGATTCAGTCATCAAATACGCAAGAGAAGGGGAGGTGAATCCTTTACTACCTACCACATACCAGGTCTTTTCATAAGGGCTTTATAAAATTTAATCTTCCTTAAAGCACAGCACATTTGGATTAATTTACCACATTTGATAAATTAATTTAAAAAGTAATAGTTAAATAATTGAGTATTCGTTAGACAGGTTTAAAACAGATCCATCTTGTAACAAAACTTAAACTATTTTTTTAACTTAAAGGTAGAAAGCAAAAATACACCACATAGCTTTTAATACTTTTTACATAAATCAGCTGGACATAATTGTTACTAGAAAAATGCTTTTGAAATTATATTGCTAGAGCAATTAAATAATCTCTTGCATAAATTAAAGGACAAGCAGGGTGGAGAAAGAAATTGACCATCCTCTCTTCCTTTCCTATGTATCTATGAAGGCTTGGAAAACAGTGATTACTCATAAATACTGAGTTTATTTAAATGCACTTAGAAGGAACTGCCCAGAGTTGTTGGTTAAAGTAAATGTATATTTCTTCATCACTGAGGTAATGAAACACTGTCAAATATTTGTTCTCAACACTTAAAATTCTTTGTGAATGTTTTTAAAGAGAATAGAAAAAAATGATTTTTAATGGTTTGTTTTTATGCTACATATTTGATCAAAACGACCTTGAAATAACACCCCAAAATATTAAAATATCTTATTTGGCATTGTTTATTTGCTTTATTTTTACCATAAAAGTTGTGAGCTTAATTTTCGCCATTGTAATTTAGTAAATAAAAGGTAAGATATTATCTAAGCCAAACCGTCTTTTCTTTATCTGATTGAACATTGGACCGTGCAAAAAAGTGATTTCTAATTGTGATTGATAACTATTGAGTAGTTGTTTTGGGGAATTAATTTCCTTCTTTGGGGACTTAATTTCTTTGTCACCCACATAAGACTACTGGACTAGATCAGGTATTCTGGAATTTTATAAATCAGTCAAATTATAAAAATAAAAATATGAGTGTAAGGCACTAAGATATTAACTTTTATTTTACCGAGGAAGGACATTAAATATATCAAAGTTGGGAAATTTTATTTTATATTTCCTATTCTTGATACAGTTTTAAGAAAAATAGCGAGTTGCAGTGCAAAAGCAGTAAGAAAAACATAGTTCCATATTAAAGGAAAACCCCACTTGTCAACAAAACAGCAGTAGCAGTAGGATGGGTGTTGAGTTTCAAAAAGATGGAACAGACTTTCAGGTGCTGTTTAACTCTGACATCCTCTGACACCTACAAGGACCTAGGACTGTGTCCAAATGCATATATATATATTTTTTTAGGTTCAAGTTAGTCGAACATCTGACAATTTTAGAATTTAAGTTCATCTAAAGTGACTGATTAAAGGCTCTTTGTTTTTATCCAAGTTTAAACGATTAAGGGTGGGTGCACACAAATTTACACAGTTTTAGTAGTGCATAAGTAGGCTTAAACTTAAAATGAACACCTAAAACAGTTAGCTGTTTTCTAGAACATGTGTTTGAAATTCACCTTTGCAAGCCATAGATTCACAGAATTTAGAACTGGAAGGAGCTTAAGAGATTGATCATTTACTTGCATTTTTTTCTATTCAATTGGATAGAATAATAGGCCTAAAATTTTTTGTTCAAAGTAAAGAGCTAAATACTGGCAGCAATGATGCTTTAACGCAAGAATCCTGATTCCTTGTGTATTATCTGTATCATATGTATCACACTCCTGTATTAATGGGTGCTGACAGTTTTATTAAGTTTGCAAGAATTTTCAAATACATTTTCAAGACATAGTCAATGTTTAAATGCAGATATCTTATTTTTAAAAAAGTATTTTCTGAGGCACTTTATCATATAGGGATAACAGTTATTTAAAGTTTTAAGTTAATTTTGCTGTGATTGTATCATAATAAGAATAAAATAGATGTCATTAGATTGATTTGTATGACAGTTTACTAAGGATAGTAATAAGGAAATAAATATGGAGGCCTAATGAAAAGGAATATATGAAGAATGTCATAATTGACTCATAATTATGTTTCTTACAGATGAGGGATATAAGAAGTCCATGTAGATGCTTTAAATACGTACGCTTTTGAAAAATATTTTCTTACATTACTTACCATGTTGGTAGTGTCTTCATTAAAAGGAAGCGAATTTTTATTTCCGTTATACGTTAGAGTAACTGCATTGACAGGAGTAGTTCCTTTCCCCCATACATGAAGGGATCCAAGCCTCGTTTCACTTTTATTTATGTAACCTCTCTTCAATATAGTGCTTGTTAAGGTGGTCTATAAATAAAGAAAAAGGAATAACATAAACACTTTATTTGCAAAAGCAATTAAAACTTTAAAAATATGTCGGTTAACCAAAAATGTATTTCGTAGTATAATAAATTGTTTATTTGTGCATTTGATATAAGGTATTTTACATAATAAACATGAATAAAACTTCAAATTTTCTTCCTTTTTTCCTATGTATCTATTTATTGAGACAGGGTCTCCCTCTGCCACCCAGGCTCAGAAAGTTTGGATTCAGTCACCAAATATGCAAGAGAAGGGGAGGTGAATCCATTACTGCCAGGCTGGAGTGCAATAGTGCAGTCATGGCTCACTGCCATCTCGAACTCCTAGATTCCAGTGACCCTCTAGCCTCAGCCTCCTATGCAGCTGGGACTACAGTTGCATGCCACCATAACTGGCTAATGTTTTTATAGAGATGGGGTCCCATTATGTTGCCCAGACAGGTCTTGAACCCCTGGCCTCAAGCAATCCTCCCATGTCAGCCTCCCAATGAACTAGGATTACAGGCATGAGCCACCCCACCCAGCTGTGAACTTCAAATATTCCTTAACAGAATTGCATATAAATAATCTTACATACCTGGTTTAAATTAAATTGTACAGATAAATATAGGTCTCTTTCATAGGTGTCTGTAGAGAGAGAAAAAAAATGTGATATATTGTTATTTCCAAAGAAGAACCATAGTAAATACCTGTATACTTTGCTTCTCTTTCCCAGTATAAAAAGTAGCAAATATTATCAAGATGTACCTATTTTTTCTCTAAGCCTATTTAACTAATTCAGATACAATCCAAGGAGCCTTGGAAATGAAGGATGAGTCACCAGGTAAGGTCCTAAGAGGACAAGCTAGGTGGTGTATGTGTGTGTAGGGGTAATGATAAAACAGTAACAGGTTTAAAATAATTTTCACACACAACAGTGGGAAGGTGGCAAGAAGTGCACAAGTAATGCAAGAATAAACAGAATTCAGTGATGATAGCAATCGACACTTACTTGTCACCTTAGTGACTGACAAAATAATATAAAGGAAAAAAGAACATGGTAGCAATACATTCTAGTGTCATTTGAAAAAACAAATTCAGTAGTTAGAGATTGTTGCAGGTCAACTAAAATTAAACTGGCAAAATGTAGGTTTATAGCCACCTCTTTAAGGTATAATCATTATTTTTTAGTTTTTATTTTTTTAAGACAAAGTCTGGCTCTATTGTCCCAGCTGAAGTGCAGTAACACAATCATGGCTCACTACAGCCTGGACCTCCTGGGCTCAAGCAATCCTCCCACCTCAGCCTCCTGAGTGGCTGGAACTACAGGCATGCACTACCATGCCTGGCTTTTTTATTTTTTTAATTTTGTAGAGGCAGGTTCTCCCTATGTTGCCCAGGTTTGTCTAGAACTCCTACACTCAAATGATCCTTCTGCCTTAGCCTCCCAAAGAACTGAGATTACAGTCATGAGCCACCACCATCAGTTTAAAGTATAATCTTGCCATATTTAAAACTCATTTTAATGATCATCCTACAGGTAAAACTTGTTTAGTGCTGACTATTTGCCAAATTCTAAATACTGTATCACTTTACTCTAAAAGATATTTTATTATTATTCCCACCGTATAGAAGAGTAAAGTGACTTTCAAAGCAGTTAAATAAATTGCCAAAAGTAAAAAAACAAAAAAGCTAATTACTGTCAATGTCTGGAATCAAACCCAGTCTTCCTTGACTTCTAAGATTGTGTTTTTATGTAAAAAAACAAATAAGCATACATAAGATAGAGCAAAGTAGAGTCAAATAAAAGAAGTATTGGGGTAACATTGAAAAAGCAGGATATTTTTATTCTCTTATCTACTTATACACATCAGGGCTGTATTCATTAACCCACTAAAATTAATTTGCTATTGATTTTACCTATACTAAAATGGATATTCTGCCTAAGACTTTTTTATGTATGCTAATATATGTATGGCTAATTTAATATGTATTACAAGACATATTAGTGTCAATATTCCTTAACCATTTTAGTTCTTATTTTCAAATATACAATTACAACTTAAGTTTTCATGAACAATCTTTTAAGTATAGAATTCTGAGTTAAAAAAAGCAAAAGTGACAGCTATTACGAAGATATGGGTAGCTTTGTTGTTTTTAATAAGAGGAAGAAAGATCTCACATATGATCTTGGTCAAGGACACAAATATAACTATTTCATTAAGATAAGTAGAAAAATTAACATTTTACTAAGCTATAACTTTATTAATCAAGAATGGTTAAAATTTACTTAATGTTAACAAGTTTTAGGAGAAGTTCATTTTGATTTACCTTTAATTATTTCAAGATAATTTGTTACCACATTATAATATATCACAAAATTTGAACATGTTTGTTTAAAAGAAAGACATCATTTCAGATTGGATGCCCATCAACTAGATTGTTGTGTTTGCTGTGAGAGAAAACCTCTTTGGAGATTCTGATCTAACAAATCCAGAGAATAAGCATTTGCTATATATGGTTTTCGCTGTTAACTCAGGAAATTTCAAGGGACTATTTAAAAATATTTATACTAAATTATACCAAATATACTGATATTGTGAAACATAACAAAATAAGTAGATCCAATTGGCAAAAAACAATTTTTTATACTTGCATGAGGAGATCATAGAGAAATATTTGGATTATGCTCAGGTACTTTCCAGTGATTACAAAAAGTCTGCCATGAAACTTGAATAGGGTAAAGTCCACACCAAATGTTGTCATCGATGCTGTAGTTGGATAGGAGGAGCTGGAGAAAATTCTAAGAGAAGCTTTGTCTGCCTAACTGATGAAATGAATTAACTTAATTTGTTAATTATGAGATTCAAAGATCCCAAGTTGCATACTTAAACTTTACACCCCTGGGAAATTGTAGGCAAATTTCCTGCTGGACACAAAGGGAAAGGCTGAAAACTTCATAGACCCTCAGTCATTGCGGTGATGAAGGTCAGAGCTCTAAAAGCAAAGGACTAACTTGTGTTGATATCTTCACTTTCTAAGTCACAAAATGTTAAAAAGAGGGATTTATTTTTCCCAAAAGTCTTGCTGTCTAGCATATAATTCTTATATCAACTTTATTACACTTATTTACTAATGGATTATTTCTTATGGTTGCAGAATATTAACTATGATTTACCTTTAAGATAAAAGATGCATGTCTTTGCTATTAATGAAAAAACTATTATCTTCGGATAAGTTATTTAAATTGCAGAGAACTGTCAACTTCACACAGATATCAATTTTTTTGATTAAAGTTTGTGTCAACAAAATGTTCAGAACGCTCATCTAGTAGTACTGACACTATTAAATAGCAGTCAGTAAACCTATCCTCTATCAGTGTTTACATACAGAATAAAAATCTCCTATGGGAGATTTCTGAGTTTCTCCTAAAATTAATGAAACTTGAATGAGTCCTATAATCTGCATTCTTAGCAAGCTGTCCCAGGTGTTTCTGATAACAACGGTTAGTGAATTTCACATGGCTAGGAGTTTAGAAGTTTAGTATGGTCTTGAGGAACAGTTATGAATGGAATAAGCCTAGATCTAAATTAAAATATATCTCCTCATGTAAAAAAATGCTAAATACTACCAAAAACAAGCAAACAAGCCAAAAGAGTAGATATAAAAACACAGAAATCAAATTTACTTGAGATTGGTTTCTGGACTACCTCCTTGTTGTAGAGGCACCACTTGTACATTTTGGGGGCTCAAAAACTGATTTCTCAGAATAAAGGTCCCAGAAGCAACACTGGAAGAAAGTTTCTCTCTGACCTTCTCCTGCCCTCCTGTCTCTTGCTCCTTACTCTCTAGTGATAGAAACTAGAATTCCTTTTCCCAAAGGCAAGTCACAGAAACTAGAATCCTTTTCCCCCAAAGCTAGCTATAAAGCCTAGAAATGTTACTCTCTTTTCCTGCTTTTCTGTGTAACAGCTGGCCATGAAGAAGTTAACAACCTCCTTCCAGAGGGGTCTTACCCCATACCTGAGAGGAAGAAATGCTACAATTAATAAGCCAACAAGAATGTGGACAGGCCTTACTAGATTTCCTCACTCAATCTGTTTCCATTAGCTTATACACTTTTTGTCCAATCACATTTCTACATGGCAGTTCCTGTTTCATTGAACCTAAGAATAAAGCCTGAGAGCATTCTCTGTATCTTTGGGCCTTTATTCTGAAGGTTCCTGTTTTACATAAAACTATGATTACATATGTTTGTTATGCTTTTCTCATGTTAACGTGTGCTTTGTTATAGAGGTGTTGGCTGTGACCCTTATGATAAATGAGGAAAAGTGTCACTCCTTTTTGTCACTATAGTATCAATATTTTGCACATATAATAATGTGGTTATTCAGCTAAGTTAACTTTACATATATGCCAAGTGTCTATTATGTGAATAGCACTGTGCTAGCTTCTGAAAGTACAAAGATAATAGATACATAATTCTGCCCACACAAATTTCTTACCTAGACACTTACCATAGGGATTGACTATATTTAGGATAAGAGAAGTCTTTAAATGTTTGCGACATTGTTTATCTCTTTAAGTTGATTCAGTGAATTTAGTAAAATCTTTTAGCCTTGAATAATATTAATAGCTTTGTACTCAGCTTCCAAAGAACAATAATAGATAACGTAAAAGTAATGTGATAGAATACGACATCAATTAAATTTATCTACTAAATCGAGCACTCACCTATACTCTCTCCATCATCCCAAAACAGAGAACCCTGTGCCATCTGATTATCATCTGCAGCAACAATGAGCTTCATGTGTTTTTGTCGACTATAAGAAAGAAATATATAATTTTACCCATGTTTGTAGAATAGCATATGTCTAGTTATGATATGACATCCACATAAGGATCTATAGGAACCCAAGCATTAAGGAGTGTGCAAACTGACTTAGACTAAGAAAATTAAAGCATTTCCATTTTTCTAAATTAGTTAACAGGAATGATATAAAACAATAAAATTCTTCATATTTAGGCCGGGTGCGGTGGCTCACGCCTGTAATCCCAGCACTTTGGGAGGCCAAGGCGGGTGGATCATGAGGTCAGGAGTTCGAGACCATCCTACCCAACATGGGGAAACTCCGTCTCTACTAAAGTACAAAAAATTAGCTGGGCGTGGTGGCAGATACCTGTAGTCCCAGCTACTTGGGAGGCTGAGGCAGGGCAATTGCTTGAACCCGGGAGGTGGAGGTTCCAGTGAGCCGAGATTGCACCACTGCACTCCAGCCTGGTGACAGAGCAAGACTCCATCAAAAAAAAAATTCTTCACATTTAATAGGAAATGTGATGCATGTCTTTTGATCTCAAGGTTTCATGTAATGTAACAAATCAGAAGTGGCCTAATTGAAAGTAATTAAAACCACATTAATTTTATTCATATATTTACTCATGCTTCTCTTGGGTAATCCTGTCATTAACCATTAAACATGAAACAATTTTAATAGCATTTTAAAATCTTTTCTGACTTAAGCCTTCCTCATATTTCCATACATAAATCATGGAGTTATCACTGGTTATAATTAATAAGAATGTATAAAGTAGCCTCCAAGTTCTAAGTTCTATCTCTGTAATAGAGAATACCTTTCAAGCATGTTCCTGCATAGGGCTACTTGTGAACTAAATACTTGCTTCCATGTTACATCTCCAGCAATCCTTGAGAAGCAACTTGATTTGGCAGCCTCATATTGTTTGAAATAATTTACCAGACCAATTGTTTTAGCTGTCTGCCTTTTCTAATCACAAATGTTGAAGAATGTACAGCCACGGAAGTCTCCTAAAATTTCCAGAATCTCTAGAGTTCAAATCTCCACAGTAATTAGATATTTTCCAGTGAAATATATTAACATACCTTACCATGAATATGTATATGAATTTCAGTTCACAGTCACTGGGGTTTAAATATAATTTAGAAACATCAAAAATATGGCTTAACCTGCAATTTCCCAACATATACTAAAACTTGTGATTAGAAAGAGTTTTACAACTTTCTATACTGTACAATGATCTGTCTTCTCTCTCATAAAAAAATAAGGATTATTCAAGGCACACCTTATGAATGGTCTCCTCCATGAAGCCCTCACTTTTCAGGTGCAATAATGTCTCTCCTCTTTAACTGATGTCAGGATAGAATATTAGTAGAAATGGACCTGGGTGGGTCCAGTAGATTAGAAGATTCTGTTCATGCCAACAGGGGCTGTCAGCATGTACATCACCAAGAGAGATGATATAGCATAAAAAGAGAAGAAAAACAGAGACAGGGTCCTCTAGAATTTGAATGTCAAAGCAAGGAATTTTGCAATGGAAATAAAGACTGTGACAGGAATAAGAGATTTACACCTATGTCAGTCTGAGAAGACAGAGCAGATCCATTGTCCCTGGTAAATTGGACATATTGCTGAAGGAGAGAAACAGAAATCCAGGTAGAGGTTCTCAGGCAAATAAGAGAAGGGCCTGGCCAGACAATCAGTTATAAAAATGGTGATAGACAGAAATCTGGGATAGCCTTCATCTTTATATGGGACAAGGTCATTAAATGATGAGCTAATGGGTGCAGCACACCAGGATGGCACATGTATACATATGTAACTAACCTGCACATTGTGCACATGTACCCTAAAACTTAAAGTATAATAATAATAAATAAATAAATAAATACATAATTAAAAAAAAAAGAAACAGGTCTGGAGTTCCAGACCAGCCTGGCCAACATGATGAAACTCCGTCTCTACTAAAAATACAAAAATTAGCTAGGCGTCTGGCAGGCACCTGTAATCCCAGATACTTGGGAGGCTGTGGCAGGGGAATCGCTGGAACCCAGGAGGTGGAGGTTGCAGTGAGCCAAGGCAGTGCACTCCAGCCTGAGCAACAGAGCAAGACTCTGTCAAAAAAAAGAGAGAAAGAAGAAAGAAAGAAAGAAAGGAAGAAAGAAAGAAAGGAAGAAAGAAAGAAAGAAAGAAAGAAAGAAAGAAAGAAAGAAAGAAAGGAAAGAAAGAAGAGAGGAGAGGAGAGGAGAAGAGAGGAGAAGAGAAGAGAAGAAATGAGAAGAGAAAGAAGAGAAGAGAAACAGGTCTGGTTCCTCTTGGACAGCAGGACACTTAGTAGTTTGATGGAGTAGTGATACTGCCAGTGAATGTCTACATTTTCATGTACTATAATGAGTCAGGAAATATATCACAAGACAGATGAAGAGAGGCAGAGAAAGGGAAACAGCAAATTAATGGAAAGGAAAGAGACACCTCCAAGCAATACTGACTTAAAGCTTATAAAAAGCTTCATCAAATGGAATATTATTCAGTGCTAAAAAGAAATGAGATACAACCCAGGTATCTCATGGAGGAATCTTAAATGCATATAACTAAGTAAAAAAAGTCAAATTGAATGTTACATACTGTATGATTCCAACTATATGACATTCTGGAAAATACAATATTACAGAGATAGTAAAATATCAGTGGTTGCCACGGGTTGAAAGAGCAATGAATAGGTGGCACACAAAGGATGTTTAGGTCAGTAAAACAATTCTAAAGGACACCAGTGGTGGATGCGGGTCATCATACATTTGTTTAGACCCAGAGAATTTACAACATCAACAGTGAACCCTAATGTAAACTGTGGTCTTTGGGTGATAAGTGTTAGTGTTGGTTCAATGATTGTAACAAATGTGCTACTTTTACGGGGGGTGTTGAAAATGAGAGAGGCTATGCATGTGTGGGCGAGCAGGGGGTAAATGGGAAATCTCTGGACCTTCTCAATTTTGCTGTATAAAACTGCTCTAAAAAATAAGTCTTTGAAAAACAGGTTAATAAATATTTCATGTTTTCGTAAAGTGATCTTCATAATACTAGATCTTCCACATGTCAGAAACAGAAAAGTAGGGTAAAAATCTTGTTGAGGCAGCCATTCAAAATATAAGACATTAAGTTGTCATTACTTTCTGCATATTATAGACAGAGATCATAAAGGTTTCATTTATATTTTTATCTGGGAAGCTTTCTTACTTTAAGAGGGAATATCCTGTTGGAAGACAGTTTTCCATGGGTCTCTTGCATTTTTATATGTCATAGGCAGAGGCATTGACAGCCTGTCTTCTGAGCTGTATTTTCAGGGATGTTTTAAAAATGAATTGAGTTCATATCCTTTGTAGGGACATAGATGAAGCTGGAAACCATCATTCTCAGCAAACTGTCGCAAGGACAAAAAACCAAACACCGCATGTTCTCAGTCATAGGTGGGAATTGAACAATGAGAACACATGGACACAGGAAGGGGAACATCACACACCGGGGCCTGTTGTGTGGTAGGGGGATGGGGGAGGGATAGCATTAGGAGATATACCTAATGTTAAAAAGACAAGTTAATGGGTGCAGCACACCAACATGGCACATGTATACATATGTAACTAACCTGCACGTTGTGCACATGTACCCTAAAACTTAAAGTATAGTAAAAAAAAAAATGAATAGCATTGGACGGCAGGGTTTCTTTTTAAAAATTCTTAATATTTCTTTTGACTGTCCAATATAAAAAAGATAATATTTTTTTTGAAGCAAATAATGGATAGATTTGTTTGTAGTCTTATTAAAGACAGGGTTTTCCTAAACCTGGGGTTCCTTATTTGTGACACAGACCTCCTACATGTGCAACATCTGCCTGGGTCGCTCCATGTCATCCCCATGGGACTTGGTGGAAAAGAAAACCTGATGCTAAGATAAAGTTCCTGTTTCTTGCTATGCTATAAACCACAAACACTTTTGTCTCTGACCTGGCATTCATGTTACTGAGGCAGGCTAATGTACTAGCTTGGCGATGGGTTAAAATTTCAAACCCTTTCTATTTCTTAACAATGCTAGCATGATGTATCTCAAAATTTAACCTGAGCTTTGTAAACAGTTCACTTACCTGTAAAATGTGTTTTGAGCTGGCTCTTGACATGGTAGGATGTGACCACCACGGACATGTAGGTTTATTGTGTCATAAGAAGCATTAAATGTTTGAAATTGTCCTCTGACGCCAATATCTTTGCCCTGGAAATGAAAGGGATGGAAAGAACAGGTGGAGCAAGAAATGGAATCATCAGCAACACTGGTAGTTGAGGATATACATTTTAAAAAATCAAATGATACACTTTTAGATTAAAAAATTCACATTTATTCAGAAAATCTTAATTTGTTTCACTATAGTAACCATTTTACTATATATATATCTCATAACATGATGTTGTATACCTTAAATATACATGGTGAAATTTACTTTTTAAAAAAGCATATCTTTAGAATCTAGTTAAATATAAGTCTTTATGATAGCTTTGAAAATCATTTATAGCGTTGTTTTTGTGGAGTTCACATGCCTAAAGTGTGTGGATTTTTGAAAAGTCACAAAAGCTCTGCTTGACTTGCCATGTACATTATTCTTAGAAAGACTGCACTACCTTTAATGATCATTTTATATATCCAATAAAAGACAATTATCTTTTTGTATGTAATGTGTAGTTACCATGTTTATTTGCTAAAATAAATCAATGACTACATAACAAACTGTAGCAGAATAAATTAACTCTCTTTCACTGTGGATTAATTCAATTCAGCTATAATTTACCGGAAATATGTTACTTTCCACTCTTTTTAAGTGGAAAGTAAATCCAACATACCGTTAATGAAAAGGCTAGGGCCAAACAATTACCCGTTTCTGTTTAGTTAATTCCCCAGAATTCCTTAAATACTTACTGTATGGTAGTCAAACCACCGAGCATTGGGGACGTAGGCATTTACAGTTTGAACATACTGGAATGTAAATAAATAGCCATTAGTTGTATATAAACCAAAGAAAATTGTGTAAACAAAAATATGTGGTAGGACTTACAGGTTCCAGTACTGGGGTAACCATAAATGCTGGACCCCATAAGAACTGCTTGAATATATCCCAGGTTGGTTTTTCATCAAAGAACCTCGACAAAATTATCACAAATAATTAAATTAAAACAAATAACTTTCTTCTGAATACCATAAAATCATTATTCAAATTACATTTTGTAGTATGGACTTTTGTGGATTAAAATAAAAACAAAACTGTAAAAAAATTAAAAAATATATCAGTTGGAATGTAATAGTACAATGCTCAGCAGTATAATACTTTATGAGTAAATCTAGACTATGACTAAATTTCCGGAGAAAATAGAGAATTCTGATGGACATGTAACATCAACTAAATGAGAAATTACTTTGGAAGAGAACTAATAGAGGTACAAATATTAACTTTGCCTAGTATATGATCAACAAATTAAAAAACATATTAAAAACACTGGAAGAAAATTGTGAGACATACTGTAAGAATTTTAATTCATTAATTTTAAAAAGAGTTTGCTTATCTTACTTAATAAACTCTCTAAATAGTAGATTTACATGTTCCTAAAGGCTCTGTAACATGTTAATGGATTTCTGAATTTGAGATGCAAATGGCTAGGAAAAACAAAGGTTTTTTTTTTGTTTGTTTTGTTTTGTTTTTTAATGGCTTAAGAGCCACTATTAAATGTTCACATTTCTTCTCCAATTGAAATGAAAAAGAAAAGCTGTTTCTTAAAATTTGTTTGTTCTTTTGTTGTGGTTTTGTTTTGCCTTATTAAAAGCTGAGATTAATGCTGAATTGGAAAGATGGGCTTACACCTCCATAAACTCATGAAAGTAGAAACCGAGGTAATCTCAATAGAACAACAGTCTGTATAGTTAATAATAATATTTCTGACTAGTGACTCAGCCCAGAGGTGATACTCCATTATCCTGGGAAGCAAATAAGAATAACAAAAAGGGGTAAAGTCTGTAAATAAAAAGGAGATCAATAAAATGTTATCAGAAATAAAGAAGGGATTATGGTAGATGATAAATTAATAAAGCAACCAGAACATAATTTGAATCCAGAAAGAATCTTTTGTTGTTGTTTTAGGAAAACTGGATCGCTTATCCTATCATCAAAAGAGAAGGCATACCAATTCACTTCTTATTTTGGTAAATTTACTTTGGGTATTGTTTTAATTTGGGTAAATATTTGCCTTTTTTAAATGGGCTTATCAATAGTGAAATCTAACAAATAATCTCATTCAATTACTCTGGTAATATAGGGTGCTCAAAAAGCTAAATATACTGTGATTATTCGGGGTTTTTTTGTTTTTATGTTTGACTGCATGCTTTGCTTTTTGTAATATCTACAATAAGAATTTGATTGTATTCAACTTAAAAATAAAATGGATGAAAATTTTTGCAAATATGCTCCATGAAATAGAATTTTTAAGATTTGGTCATATAAAAGTTTGAGCTTTAAGAGGTGAATCCAAAACAAATTTATAAGGATAATGTTGAAACTGTTCCTGTGTATCTCATTGGGATACATCAAGGAAAAGGTGGAATGGTCTCCAGTAAGACATCTGTATATAGTAGATTTACGTAACTGCAGTAAACCGTGATTAATTAAATCATGAGGGGCATTACTTATCTCCCTGGAAATGTTGAGAATAGTCAATGTAAGCACATATACAAAGCATGTAGAACAATACCTTGTATACAGTAATTATTCTGAAATAGAATCATTACTTTTTAATAACTAATTAATGTGGTTCATTCTTTAATGGCTTATGCTAGTCTATTTATTAATGGACATATTTGTGTAAATGCTTTATTAATAAAAAATGTGTGCTAATATAACAATGGAAAAACTGCCAATCTAAAATATTTTATATTGCACTATAAGAGATCATTGGGTAAATTAAGTGAAAAGTATCTCTCTGTGATAAGAGAAAACAAACTTTGTACTTACTCATGCAAAAGGGGTCGGATAACAGTGCCACCATTAGCATGAATTTCATGCATTTGTGTGTAAAAATAGGGCAATAAGGTGTATCTAATATTTAGAATATTCCTTGACATTTCAGCAAAAGTTTCATTCCAGGAAGCGGGATCTTGTCTCTGAAACAAAGCAAAATAACATAGTTATAAGCTTTGGTCCTTGTTTAAGTCATAATATTCATATTCATATTTGAAGAACTAAAAAGTAAGACATGATATTAATTGATTGTCATGTGCTATGTACTTTCTTCCCAAAATCTTACACAATAATATTTCTATCACATGATAAAGAGAAAAGGTACACAACATTTTAATAAGAGAAATTCAAATTAAATCCATGGCTTGATTTAGTTTAAGTGAACATACCCAAAGAAAAGTTCACATTTTAATGGATGACAAATATGTTGTCAATTAGGTGATAGTCAGTGTTAGAGTGATCAGTGTAGGAGATAAATGAAATGATAGGCTATCCAAAGTCGATTGAAATAAACATAGACAAGCAGAGCAAATGATGGTGACCATGCACATTGTGGGTTCTCAGGAGAAATGAACAGATTATGGTACTAAAGAATACTAAAGAATACATAGTACAGATAGAAGGGAAGGCATAAAGATGAATGAAAGGAAATAATGTGCCTGAGTATGCTCTGGAATGCACACTCCAGCTCAAAAGACTAAAATTTTTAGTCTAAAGTTTAGAGTGGAAGATTAAAAGTCTACAAAAAAAATTCTTGCACATATTAGTTAAAAAATAATAGGCAAGAAAAGTTATTACTATTTTGTATTTTGATCTGCACCAGGGGAATAAGCAAGGCCATCACAAAGCTCGAGGTAACATTTAAATGTTTTTCGTTGACATCAGCATGACTGGGGCCCTTTATAGTTGTGTCATATCGATGATGATTCCAATTTTTCTGTATTTTAAGAGTAAGAAAGTTTGAATGAAAATTTCATGTCATAGCTGTTATATGCAGTATTAGAATACAGAAAATCTTGAAAGTAAAAATGGTCCAAGAACTGTTAAGCTGTATGTAATCCTATTGCTGGTATTTCCAAAGTTAAATAAGAAGAAAAAAGGCAAAGATCATATCTGTTGCTTATTGACCTCATTAATATGATTTTAGTTTTAACATGTTGATACACAAGCATCTAATTCTAAACTATACAATTCGAGTAATACATTTCAATAGTTCATTTGTACCAACTCATATTTAAACTTAAGTAGAGTTTTCTATCCTCTAGATTTTTATTTAGAAATACTTCCTCAGTCTTTCCCTCCTTCTGCATTTGAATTTTCCTTAAAAACACCAACCACATTACAATCATTGGGTATTTTACTTTGTTGCTCCCATGTGGAATTCTCCATACGTTTATATTGGTTACTGTTCCCCACACCCATCTCAGCTCTAGTATTCCTTCATTTAATACCTTTCTGAGCACTTTTCCTAAAGCAGAATCTCTATAAAACTCCATCACTTTAGTTTAATCTATTTTCCCTTATAGACATTTATTTGTATCTGACCTATTACATATAAAATGGTCTATTATTTATATCCCTTTTTAGAATATATAAATCATTTGAGCAAGGACTTCGTAAATATGAAATAGTATATTCTCAATAATGAATCTCTCCCCAAGCTTTCATTGATTCATGCTCTACTTTCCCAATATTACAGCTTTCTAAATTGCATTATTGACAGCAAATTTTCCTGTTGAGATATTACTGTTTCATCAAGTTATGTCTCTATTGTCCAGCTTTCAAATTCTTTCAAACGTGGTTCCGTTCTGCCTACAATCCTTGTATTTCAGCATTTTCTAAAATAAATCCTACTCTCTATTTCTACCCAAGTTTCCAGTGCGGGGACCATGTAGATTTCACAGCACATCACGAGCTCTGCCATTTACTTACTATAGGCAGAGCACATCTTTTAAAGGCCAGCTCTGTCTTTAACCTGTCCATCATGCGCATTTTGCTAATTTATCATTTTTCTGCATTTCTTCACTGAAAGTCAGCATCATGAAATTTAGTGCTTATTTAGATATTGGCTCTAACTGTTCCTACTCTTCCATAATTTTTAGTAATGTCTCCCCAGATACTCAAAAAAAGTTCCTCCAGACAATTTCCTCACTACTCCAAAATTATATATAACATCAATAAATATACCAGCTAACCAAGCCATGTACACTAAAGTATAATGAAGCATAGCCCAAGTAAGAAAATACTGAAAGTAAATGTAGTAATTACATACTCTAGTATTTGCAATGTTGTGATTCCTTGAGTATGGATAAAATGCTCCAAGTTGCATCCAGCGGGTACAGAGATGATATTCTGAGTTGTTGAAAAAACCACAGATGTCTGCTCCAGTCTAAAATATATTGTTATATTTAGTTAAATTTGAATAGTTTATGAATGTTTATAATTTATGAAGATAAAAGGAATAAAACTACTTACATATGACATTCCAAACAGACTAAATTCCATCATACCTGAAAAAGTTAGAAAAAATATCTTAGAAAGTTATTATTTCATATATTTTAATATTGTTTTTTATTTCTATTTATGATGATGTTCTGTTTTTAATATCAACCTCCAAACCTGAAACATTTTTCAGATTATTAATATAATTATCTCATAATGCTTCTCATAATGCTCACACATTTTGACTTTGTAGCATTTATGATATTTACAAAAATAAGATACTATAAGCTTCCTTGACACTTGCAAGGTGACATATTCAGACAACAAATACATTATAAACACATTATAGTGTGAGAAGAAAGTGGTGTCCACAGTTTCATTTTTGAAAATAAATATGCTATTTCTGCAGTTACTTAACTATAGGTCTGATTGAACTATAGGTTCAACTGGTTTCAGTCTATCATTTGAAAAAAACTGAACCATTCTTATTAAACAAATCCTTTAAGGAGTAATCAATTCTATAAAATACAATGAATATGATTTCTGAGCTCTTATTTTAAAGGAATATTTCTAAGAATTAATTGTTTTCCTTGAATTTATTTATCAATGGTGAACAAATTTTAAGACTAAATATAGAGCACAAAAGTATCTATTTCCCTATTAAAATGGTAATGTCTTATTTAGCACTTATTCTACTATTGTCACAAATTTCTTTCCAAATTTGGTTCGAAATGTTTCTTTTTTTTTTTTAGCATCTATCAGTGATTTATATTCCCTAGAATCTAGAATCTTTTAAATTTCAGTTTCAGAAGTACATTTGCAGGTGTATTATTTAGGTAACTT
This sequence comes from Homo sapiens, assembly GCF_000001405.40. Taxonomy (NCBI): domain Eukaryota; kingdom Metazoa; phylum Chordata; class Mammalia; order Primates; family Hominidae; genus Homo; species Homo sapiens. Next base: position 164,997,548 of record NC_000003.12, read on the forward strand.
GCTTGTCACAGGGGTTTTGTGTACAGATTATTTTGTCACCCAGATAATAAGCATAGTACTTGACAGGCTGTTACTCAATCCTCACCCTCCTCCCACGCCACAACTTCATATAGGCCCTGGTGTCTGTTGTTCCCTTCTTTGTGTCCATGTGTACACAGTGTTTAGCTCCCAGTTATAAGTTAGAATATGTGGTATTTTGTTTTCTGTTCCTCTGTTAGTTTGCTTAAGATAATGGCCTCCAGCTCCATCCATGTCCCTTGAAAGGTCATGATCTCATTTTTTATGGCTGTATATATTCCATGGTGTATATGTACCACATTTTCTTTATTCAGTCTACCATTCATGGGCATTTAGGCTGATTCCATGTCTTTGGTGAATAGCGAACTGGCGAATTCCATGTCTTTGTCGAAGAGTGTCTTTTGTGAATAGTGTTGTAATGAACCTTCTTGTGCATGTCTTTATGGTAGGATCATTTCTATTCCTCTGGGTATATAACCACTAATGGGATTTTGGGGTTGAATGGTCATTCTGTTTTTAGCTGTTTGAGGAATCATCATACTGCTTTTCACAATAGTTTAATTAATTTACACTACTACCAACAGTATATATGTCAACTTTTCTCAACAATCTTGAAAGCATCTGTTATTTTTTGACTTTTTAATAATAGCTATGAAATCTAGAATTTCTATTCATTTCTCTCTATTAGCTCTAGACCTTATCTTTGCCAGCTACTGCCCTTTTCAGTAAGGAAACTCAGGCCAATAACAATGACACCATTTCCTCAAAATAAACTAATTGAAGATCATTAGTTTCTACACAGCACCCTCAATCCAGCTTCCTGGCCCACTGTCTTTTTCTGATGCTATATGACATAAAGTACGATGTGAAGAACAAAATTCTGAGGACTTATAAATGTTATGACCTAGCACCAGCAAAAGTGAGTATCTAATAGAAAACACAAAATAATAATAAAGATGGTGACTTTCACTTACCAATGATTGATTTGTCCATGTTGTCCCATCGTGCATAGTTGTCTCCAAGCCAGTGTCCTCCCCATCGTCCACTAGTAGGATACGTGGAACGAGAAATTACAATCCCTCTTTTTCCAGTTGTCTTCTGCAATGCACTAATATAGTAGAGAAGTATTTTTGAGTTTTTACATGAGATATTTTCTCCAAATATATCTACTTACGACTACTTTGTAAAAAAAAATAGTGATTTGTGGTGCTTATATTGTCATTTATTACAACTGGCTCTTGATAAGTTTGTCTTCTCTCATTAAATTATAAAATCCTCAAAACATAAAGGACGTCTTTTTCCCTTCCAACATTTACCAGAGTGACATGCAGATATTAAGAGGCCTTTATATATTCCTTCAATGAATACAAGTTAAATCAACTATTAATTGAATGAAATCAACAAATTCATCACATTGAGCTTTTTATTTTACTTTAATGTATTTTTAATAAAGGCTTATGCTCTAACTATTCATTGCCCCAACGCCTCTCAACTGTAACATATCAACACTTAATGTACATATTACTGTGCAGACAATGCCTACTATCATACTCTTTGCTTTAAAGGTTTAATTTGAAGAGAGCAAAGTATTCTCGGGTCTTAAAACTAAAAAGAATTGCTCCATTTCAAGTGTAGAATCTATTGGGAGTAAGTTCTTCTCAACAGAATGGGTTGTGTAAATGAAATCATATGATTTATTTCCCTTCTCAGTCTTTGGAGAATGAATTTAATGACATGCATGTTAAAATATGTTCTAGTTTTAGAAAAAAAATAAGTATTTTTATATCATCTTCATCTGTTTTCTTCTATCTCCCTTTCTTTTCCCTCTGCCTTTCTCTCTGACTGAACACAGATTATATTATAAGAGTATCAATAAAGTTTTACTCTAATATTAGTTGGAAATAAAAATTTTATTTTTATATTACTCAAATAATTTGAATATGAATAAGAGCTACAGAACTATCTTAGAAGAAGATACCACAAATACATAATTAGGCAGACTTTACTGGACACTAACACATTATCAAAAGTATTGAGTCATTTCCTTGTTACAGCAGGATCCCAGTGTTTGTATGTATATAAAGCTCCTTCCATGACACCTTGAGATTCCTAAAATCAAGTGCTATACTTTAATCTTCCTTGCATCCCTTATATCTAATGCAATGCTTGGCATGTAATAGTAGCTCAAGAAAGTTCGGAATTAACAAATGTCTCAAGTCAAAAGTGCAAGCAACTAAAAATGTGTTAAACAGACATAACATATTGAACCATCACTTGCTAATAAAGGCAATATTGTGTTAGTTAACTTAAAATGTTCTACTTCTAAATTGTCACTCTTTTAAAAAACCAATAAAAGAAAATGATCTTCACTGCTTTATTTTTTCATAACAAATATAAAATGGCCATTTAGGAATATTAATCTTTTAAATATACATTACATATATTTTTTTGAAATTTAATAAGAAATAAATATATAAATATGAAGAGTAATAATTGGTGATAATTCTATAAATCTATATGAAAATGTATTTTTGGAGTTCAGTTCATTTGCAAACAAAATTAGTTTTGTTTAATATAAAAATTATTTACAAGGACAGTGTTGTCACAAATTCTTCACGTGTTCACATGAAAGAAAATTATGTTTCTGGAGGATTTCTTTTTTTTCTCTATTATATATCTTACACTTGAAAAACTTCTTTACTGATACTTTAAATTAATAGCTGAATATATGCTTATCAGGTTGATAAGGATTCTACATAAAGTAGTTTCACACAATGGGCACAAAGTTACAGTTAGATAGGAAGAATAAATTTAGCAAGATGACCATAGTTAATATATTGTATATTTCAGAATAGCTAAAAGAAAGAATTTTAAATGTTCTCACTACAAATAAATGATAAATATCTGAGAAGATAAATAAGCTAATTAGCCTTATTTGATCATTTCACACTGTATAATGTATGAAAACATCACAATGTACTCCATATTTACTATTGTTAATTGTAAATTAAAATAAAACTATAAAATAAATGAGGTATTTTCATAATAATTTTCTCTTAAGGGAATTCTAAACTCTTATATAAGAGGAATCTCCTCTGTAAACCCTCACACAGAATATGTATTTGACGCCACTAAAGATATAAAGTTCAAACACGGTAAATATATTCTAATTATTTCCAACACTGTTTCAATTTTACAAATTGTTCAGTCACAATTAACTTAGTTTAAGTTATTCTTGAGAAACAGCTTTAAGCCAGAAGAGTTTGTTCTTTGTTACCACTTGACATTGGAGAGTTCAGCTTATAAGAAAGAGATATTTTTGTTGTGTGTTTATTATTGCCTACAGGAGCATTTTCTTGAAATATATTTTAAAAATTAGAATATATCTTCAATTATTATAAAAAAGTTTTTTATAGAAGTAAAACCAGAAACTCTACATATATATTACAAAAATGAAATATGTGAAGAGAATATTAAATTTAAAAATTTAAAACATATTTTTAATCTTCCAATAATTAATATCTTTATTTTAGTCATAGTTTCTAAAAGAAAATGTTAAATTAATTAATGTGACTATTATCTTCAATTACTGATGAAATCAATTTATAAACATTTTCCAAACACTTCTATCTCATGACTGGACGGTGTTCTCATGATTGGATGGTGTTAAATTATTTTAGAATACAGACTGCTGTATAGTAGAGAAAAGAAAGTTATTACAGAATTGTTATCCTCATTTTCATGAAAACAACTCTTTGAAAACTCAAAGATATTTTATTGAATTATTTTTGAAGGCAATATATTTAGTATTTGTTAGAAATATAAATTTTCCCAACTCACATTTCAAATAGTCACCATTAGATCAGAAAATGTAATATCTGTTTTAATTTTGAAATTGGATAAGTATTTTGTAGGCTAAAATATTTTAATTATGTTTTAGTGTATAACAAATTAATGAAATTTGAAATTTCCTTTAGCAAGAAGACAATGTGAAACACTATATCATGGAAAGAGTTTTATAGATTCATATCTCAAATTTTATATTTTGATATACCAATTGTATCAATGTTCTATTCATCTATATCATTCAGAATCTAATGTCTGAAAGACATGCATTTACTATCCGGTCTTGAGACGAACAGCTGATTAATAGAAAGTTACAGCTATAACTAAAGTAACTTCTAAATTAGTGAATGAGGTGAGGTATACTGTGTTTGTTTTTTCATAGACTAGTTTTTGTTTATTAAAAAAAATATACAAGAGACCACTTCCTATAGTTTACAATGCCCCCACTTCAAAAAGGCACTCTTATTTTTCCAGAAAGTTACATTAAATATAATTTTCCAAGTTGCAAATTATCCCAGTTTATAAGAATATCTGCAAAAATAATTTATAAATATTGACTTTTTCCATTCCATTTTATGATTACAAAACTCTTGGGCACTTATTTAAAAATTGTATATTAAAACACAACCTAAGCATTCAGAGGGAGTCAAAGATGTTTAATTTTCTAAGTCCTCTCTAATGAATAGTAGGTACTAATCCCTAACATCTTTAAAGCTTTTGGTAAAAATGAAAATAATATATGTGTAGTTACATAATCCTTGAATATTTGTCCGAAATTTGAACCCATAATTTGAAGTAGATTTTTGAATGTATTTCTTTCTACATTTGAAGAATAGGCTTTATTTCAATACAACATTGAATTTCAAATTACAAGAGATGAGAGCAATTGAAGACTCAAAACTTTTTGTGCAGGATTTCTATATGAAGCTTTTTTTATTTGCCATTAGTGTCCATGATTCTTTGTGTAAAACTATCTGCAATTTCTCAAGCTGATTAAATCCCATTTCTGAATCCATGCATGCTATTCTTTCGTTGCTTCTTGTTTGTTTCATGTTAAGTGAAAGAACACAGTAGCAAGAAATAGCTAAATGTCAAATATGTGGCAGTTTGTAAGACAGAAAATAAGTCACTAAAAAACAAAATGCTATGGTCTGTATAACTTGAGAAAAAAACGTGTGTTTATAATTTGTTCAGTTTTCCTCAATGATAAACAGAAAGACTTTACTCTTCATAATTTGCTTAAATGTAACATGTACCTTATTTATAGTGTTTTTTTACATTTGTCAAGGTCTTTATACATGTAATTAATTATTTAATCTCTAAAATTTTCCGAGTTCAGCAGTTTTTTGTAACTGAAAAAATTAAAATATTAAGAAAGTATCTGAAACATATGAAAAATATAAGACTGTATAAAATAGGCTACTTAATACTTAATCCAATTAATCTACTCAATTTAAGTAATGTGATTGAAACTTGCACTGAAAAGTTTTATGAACGAGAGCAAAATTAGCACTAATAAGTATATGTATATTGATTTCATTTTCAAGGATATTCCATGGAAGATTGTGCTGATTTCCTCCTCATAATTTTGCTTAAAAGTGGAAATGGACTTTACATACGCTTAAATATCTCTGCATATGGACTATTTGGAAATTTACCTGTATCTACCTTGAACTTATCAAAACAACTTTGATACCTGTGATTATAACAGGATAATGATGAATTTATTTAAATTTACTAAGCATCCACAATGTGTCAAGAATCATGTTTGACTCTGTAATGTGCTTCAGAAGTATACTTATTTCCTGTCTTCTGTGGAGAGGAATTTTTTTTTCAATTTTTGTTAAGCTACATACTTTCAACTCAAAGCACATAATTTTTGTCAATAAGATCATCACTCAATTTTCAATATTTTTGTTCTTTTTAATGTCTACAGTTTTAGTTAAAGTAAATTTAGCTGTGGATAATTATGCCCCAATATTGTGTTCCAGCAGGGTTAATCAAAAGTAACATTTGCCCCAGTGAAAAGGCATTGTTCAATGCCAGTTTATTCACTCTTAAAATAACTTAGTGTTTTATTTTTGGATTTGGTGAACAAGTGAGTTTTTGGTCATACATTCATGTATTCTGAGTTGATTAAGAGTTAATTGATAGAAATAAGATAAGTAGGTTTTACTAAGCGAGAAATTTTATCCATACTCTTTACTTCAAAATGCTTTTTATTCTTTTATCAACTTCAGCTATTTGTTAGAACAGAAGTTTTCAACCCTGTCTGCTCATTAGAACTGCCTGGAAAGTTTTAAATATTCAGATGCTTAGGCTATAAAAGAGACCAATTAAATAATAATTTATTTAAAAATCACAAGCCTTATGGTGATTGCAAATGAAAAAGCATACAACAGATATACAAAATATAAAAAGCAAGAAATCAAATAACACCAGAGAAAAGGGAAATAAGAAGAAATGAAAGAGGAATGAGAAGACCATTAAACAACTAGAAAACAAATAACAAATGGTGGGAGTAAGTCCTTACTCATCAGTAATGAAATTGAATATAAATGGATTAAACACTCCAATCAAAAGACGCAGTGAAAAGACAAACCACAGAATGGGAGAAAATATTTGCAAAATAATCATTTGACAAGGGATTAATGACCAGAATATATAAGGAGCTCAAACAACTCTATAGGAAAAACTTCTAATAATCTGATTTAAAAATGGGCAAAATATTTGAATAGGCATTTCTCAAAAGAAGACATACAAATGGCAATCAGGCATATGAAGAGGTGCTCAACATCATCGATCATCAGAGAAATGCAAATCACAACTACAATGAGACATCATCTCGCCCTAGTTAAAATGGCTTTTATCCAAAAGACAGCCAGTAACAAATGCTGTTGAAGCTGTGGAGAAAAGGTAATGCTCTTTCGCTGTTGGTAAGAATGTAAATTCATACAACCACTATGAAGAGCAGTTTGAAGTTTCCCCAAAAAATAAAAATAGAGCTACTATATGATTCAGCAGTCCTGCTGCTGAATATGCATCCAAAAGAAAGATATATCAAAAAGATATCTGCCCTCCCATGTTTATTGCAGCACTGTTCACAATAGCCAAGTTTGGAAGCACCTTTAGTGTCCATCAACAGATGATTAGATAAAGTAAATATGGTACATATATACAACGGAGTCCTATGCAGCTATAAAAAAGAATAAAATCCTGTCATTTGCAACGACATGTAGGAAACTGGAAGTCATTAAATGTTAAATGAATTAAGTAAGACACAGAGAAAAACTTCATATGTTCTCACTTATTGTGGCTGCTAAAAATTTTGAAAAAGCAAAACATTGAACTCATGAATATAGACGGGAGAAGGATGGTTACCAGAAGCTAGGAAGGGTTGTGTGGGGGTGAGGGGAAAGCAAGTGTTATGGTTGGGCTTTGTGATCCCACCCAAATCTCATCAGGGATTGCAATCCCCACCTGTCAAGGGAGCGACCTGGTGGGAGGTGATTCCATCATGGGGGCGGTTTCCCCTACGCTATTCTTGTAATAGTGAGTTAGTTCTCATGAGAGCTGATGGTTTTAAAGTATGGCAGTTCTCCCATCACTATCTCTGTCTCCTAAAGTCATGTAAGATGCACCTTGCTTCTCCTTCACATTCTGCCATGATTGTATGTTTCCTGAGGACTCTCCAGCCATGCAGAACTGTGAGTCAATTCAACCTCTTTAAATTGCCCAGTCTTTAAATAAACATCTTTAAATTACCCAGTCTCAGGTAGTATCTTTATGAAAGAGTGAAAATAGACTAATACAGCAGGGATGGTTAATGGGTGCTATATATATAGTTAGAAAGAATGAATAATATATACTATTTGATAGCACAACAGGATGATAGTCAATAATAGTTTAATTGTATACTTAAAAAAAACCCTAAAAGTGTAATTGGATTGTTTGTAACACAAAGGATAAATCTTGAGGGGAAAAATCCTTCTGTTTTCTATGAGGTGATTACTGTGTATTGCATGCTTGGTATCTCACTTGCCCAATATATATACCCACCTACTATGTGCACATGACACTTAAAAAAAATCTAAACCCTAAAAAGAAAATCTCCAAGTGATTATAATATGTAGTCAAAAGCCAGGGATCTACAACTGCAGTGTCTAATATGGTAGCCACTAATTATCTATTATTTCATATTTAATTATTGTATACTACTACTTAAAATTAAATAACTTTAAAATTCCATTCCTGAGTCACACTAGACACATTGTTCCATGGCCATATATGGCTGGTAAGTACCACATTGGCACCCAGAATTATAGATGATTTCTATATATTTATTTATTTTTTCAGACAGGTTCTTGTTTTGTTGCCCAGGCTGGAATGCAGTGGTAGGAGCACAGCTCACTGCAGCCTCAACCTCCTGGGCCCAAGTGATCCTCCCATCTCAGCCTGCCAAAGTGTTGAGATTACAAGTATAAGCTGCTGTGCCTGGCCAGAAGATTTCAATCACTGCAAAACTTGTATTGGAAAGTGCTAATAAAGAATTGATTTTCAGTGAATGGTCTGTATTCCATCATCATTGGCCTTACATAAAAGTTTGTTAAAAATGCAGATAATTACTATGATCATTAATATTTGAGAAGTTCATTAAAAGTGCTCTAATTTACTAATAATGAATTTATTTATTTTATGTTTTTATTTTTATTTTGAAACAGAGAGTCTCGCTCTGTTGCCAGGCTGGAGTGCAATGGCACAATCTTGGCTCACTGCAACCTCTGCCGCCCAGGTCCAAGCGATTCTTGTGCCTCAGCCTCCCGAGTAACTGGGACCACAGCTCTGCACCACCACTCCTGGCTAATTTTTTGTATTTTTAGTAGAGATGAGGTTTCACCATTTTGGCCAGGCTGATCTTGAACTCCTGGTCTCAATTGATCCGCCCGCCTCAGCCTCCCAAAGTGCTGGGATTACAGGCGTGAGCCACTGTGCCTGGGCTGACAATGAATTCAAATAACAGATTTCGCCAAATGTTTGATGCTTTATGTCTTAATGATATCAAATTATATGTTATTAATTCATTTATAAATATTAATCCAATATTATTTATTGAGCACCTACAATTGGCCAGGCACTATGCTGGGCACATAGAAACAAAATAAAAATGGTCTAGGATTTATTTTGGAATAGTATAGAAATTAGAATAATAACAATAAAGATATTTAGATAAATTAGATAGAAAGAAACACATTTTTTCTAAATGCTATGAAGGAAGAAGTTACAGAGAACAATTGGGAAGTAAAGAGATACAAGAGAAGATTGTCGGGACTGTTAAAATGATAACATTAAATGTAAGAACCAAAGAATAAAAGAGTCAGAGAGGATAATTCAGAACATTGCTTACTCATGAGTAGGTTTCATCTGTGACCATCCATAGAGATTGTGAACATCGTAATGCAAAACTGATGTTCCATCACTAAGAATCTGCTCAGCTTCCATGCAAATTGTTCTGAAATGTAATCCATCAGTTCTTTTTGTGAGTTCTGGAAAGAATCAATGAAAAAATATTAATATATTATACAGTGCCCTACAATGAAACGTGTAACTCATAATTATGTATTCCTTGACAAAGAAATTAATCAGTGTTTTATAAAACCTATGTATATTTTAACCATTTGTATACTTTGTATGAGTTAATTATCAACTTAAAATGGCCTGAAATTGTAACTGAATTACATGAATTAATAAAAACCTGAAAAATAAGTACACTCCTCAATGTCTACTCTTTCTAGTGCATTTAGATGGAAAACACTGATTAGAGTTTTATTAAAAATTCACTTGGTATCATAAAGCCCAGAGTTTAAGGGCTAGGCAAATGTTATAACACTGCCTTTTGATCCACATTTTCTCAGTTTAAGATTTTTTTCCAGAGTTTTGCCATCACTTAATATGCTAATAGTTTGTGACGTTTTCTGCCTGCATAAGAGAATGATGATGAATATGAAACATCACATTCATCTTCATTTCCTTCTATGTCAAAGGTAAACAGATAAGTGTTAGCATTCTTTCCCTTATCCTTAGTAAAGAAACACTTCTAAAAACTTCCTTTCAAAATAATTTTATTTTTTATCTTAAAGAGTATTTAACATTTTTTGAATCTGGGAAAATTATTAAGCAAACCAAAATAACAACTTCAAACAAATTTAGAATTGTGTTCATGTAGATAAAATATATTCCTTGATTTTTTTCTCAAAATAGTGTTAAATAATATTGGTAATGGGTCAAGGTGTGGTCCAGTGTGTGGGTGGGTAGTGAAAATTGGGTGTGTGAATCCTATTCCCTACCTTCTATATATATCAAACTGATTTTTTATATATACATATATATTCTATATATATATTCTATGTATAGCTAACTGATATATATCAGTTTATATTATATACCTATTAATATATAATAATAACATGATAATATCAAAGGCATACCAACAATATTGTACCTGGGAAATAAGGTGGATAATTTAGTTCGTCATTTCTGCATTGATTAGTAGTTGTTCCATTTACAAAACTTGATGGCTCATTCATATCCTTAAAAAAAGATGAAAGAAAAAGGTAAACAAAAGATAAATTTACAACATATATTCTCAAAAGAGCTAGTTCAAAAAGTAAGTAGGTTAACATATTTGAACAATGTTATATATACTCACTATTCTAAACAAACAAAATTGTAAAACATCTCAATGATATTAGTTTATCTCATTGATTGCTTTTTTCAGTTTCCTTTTGAAAAATAAAATGTTTTGTTTTCTCTGTATTATGCATTATACCCATAAAAATAGTTTATTTTCATATCTTTAAGACATAGCATTATAATAATATGTGCCCTATCATCTCCTTCCCCTCCACTCCTGCCCTGAGCCTGATATCAATTGCTTTTATTGCTAAAACTACAAGATATATTAATAGTTTACAAATGCAGATAATTTCAAGAAGTATCTCTATTGAGTACATATCTCAGAATCTCAGTAGTCATATTTAAAAGAATCATGATCTAAATAAATAAGTCAGCCACCATTTAAAATGGATTGCCTCCACCTGAAAAAGATAATTTTCTCTGGATCCAGATGACATTCTCAGGAATATACTTAAGAGAATCCCTTATGGTATACCAATTGCTACATCTAATAAACATAGATGTTCCATGAATTTTTAAACAAAATATATGCTTTATACAATCTTATATCTACAAAGTTTCCACATAGTGACAGCTGTATAAAGCTTTTTTCAATTTAAAAAATAAGTAAATTAATGCTTTACACTGGAAAAATCAACAAAGTAAAAAATTTTTCCTCCGGAAATTGAAATATATTACATAAAATTTTCTGTATTAAGCATTTACTTGTAGCAAAGTAAATTATTTTTATGCTATCTAAAAAAATATATTATTAAAAATCTTACTACTAACATTTTAAGATTACATCAAAAAAGAAACTTTAAAAGACAATGTTACCAAATTTAAGAAATTTTTATCTCTCATACAAAGGACTAATGGTTATTTAAGCCTGACACTTATTCCTATATTAAATAAAAGTGAAATAAATATTTACAAGGATTTATTAATATATAGAATATTTTGCTTTTTGAATTTTGCAAATTGAAAAAGTCCAGGAAATAGCATCCATACACATAAATTTAGTTTTTAACACTTTACTTTAGCAGTTGTTTGTGTAAGAAAGTTCTGTGGGGGAAAAAAGTGGACTAGTTTTCAAATAAAATATTTTGTTGACATTATTTGAGCCAAGTACTAATTTTGCATAATCACTGCACAATAAATAACTTAAAACATAGATTGTTCAAAGCTTACTTACAATCCACAAACCATCAAACTTCATCTTTTCATTGTAAAAGTCCACAATTTCTCTGGCCCACCACTCTGCTGTGGAAGTCCTGAAGAAATCTGGGAAAGCTACATGAGCTCTGGAAGCCTGTAAAACCAAAATTTAGGCTCACATGTGGAAAGTCTTAAGAGAGATTATATACATATAAATCTGAATGTATTTGACAGATCCACAAGTCATGTATGACTGATAATGAAGGAAATTGACATCAATCTTAATTACATAAATGTGTGTGGTTTCTTCCTCAACACTTCAATAGAGTAAAGAGGGACATCGGTGGAGATAATAGAGCCATTTTGGAATCCTATGTGAATTATAAAGGAACAGTTCACAACCCACAAAAGCATTATTTTTAGTGCTTCCTAGAGTAATGGGGAAGCTTTTTTTCTCTGTTACTGCAGAGCCCATACTTCAGGTTTACCTTTGTGGAGCACAATGAAACAGCAAAGGGCCATAGTATAAAGCCTGTTTTTATATAGCTTTCTCATTTCCCAGAACCATCTCACCACCCTCATCAACTGCTTCTTTTTTTGTCTCTCACATCTAGCCCTTCTCATCCCAACAGAGAAGAGGTGTTTTATTCCAATCTCTACTAAGAATATTCCCTACTTGCCAGTCGAAACATAAAAGTTCCAGTGTCAGAGTAACCGTGTTTTAGCAAAAGATTGACCTGCAGCTAAGTTAATTGGGTATGTCTCAAAAAAATGACATGACAACCTGGATGCTTTTTTGGCACATGTTAAGATTCTGTTGTAACGGCCTTAACAGTCTTCTTTATGAACAAGATATCGGAGGACATACAGAAAATGCAGAGAGTAGGAAATATAGAGATTTACAAAATACATATGATGGATTTTGTTTTTTTTTTAAGATAGAGTTTTGCTCTTGTTGCCCAGGCTGGAGTGCAATGGCACAACCTCGGCTCACTGCAACCTCTGTCTCCCAGGCTCAAGGGATTCTCCTGCCTCAGCCTCCAGAGTAGGTGGGATTACAGATGTCCACCACCACACCTGGCTAATTTTTTGTATTTTTAGTAGAGACGGGGTTTCACCATGTTGGTCAGGCTTGTCTCAAACTCCTGACCTCAGGTGATCCACACGCCTCGGCCTCCCAAAGTGCTGGGATTACAGGCGTGAGCCACCGCACCTGGCCTATGATGAATATCTTCAAGAGTAGAAAGGGACTTAATTTTATCATCTTACCTATTAATTACATTTTACTCATAAGGATAGAAGGCTTGGTGGGATTATATTGAATATTTTCTATGCAAGGATCTCCCGTATGATAATTAATAACAAATGGTAGTGCCAGATCTTTTTCATTAATTTTCACTTTTCTGCTCTTTACATAATTCATTTTTTAGTTTAACTTATTCTATTAGCTGGCTGCTTCTATCACTTAAATAAAATCATTGATTATATCCAGAAAATCAATCAGGTACATGTAATCCAACACTGTTGATACCTTTTGTGGAAGAGAATCCCAGGGAATTCTGCATAAGCCATTCTACGTAAATTGACACTGTCCTCCAACACCTATATAAAAATCCATGCCTGTCTCTCTAGTGGTTCTCAAGAATAGTGGGTGGAACTCAAGTTGAAATAACACTTTTTTCCTCAATGACATAGTTCAGTAGGTTCAATTATCTGACTCTGTTTTAGAAGTAGTTTTGGTAAGTTTTAAGCTCCCAAATTTTTCACAGTTACCTAAACTTGTATAATTTAATGATTGTAAATTCATCTGGCTAAAAGAAGGATCACCAACTCTTAGTTTTGTTGATATTTTCTATTTATTTTGTGTTTTTCTTTTAATTTTTACTCCTCTAATCTTTATTTTCTTCCCTCTACTAACTTTAAGTTTATTCTTTTTCTAATTCATTGAGAGGTAATGTTATTTATTTGAGATTTTTATTATTCTTCATGTGGGTGTTTCTTGTTATACACTTCTCTCTTAGTACTGCTTTTGCTGCATCCCAGAAGTTTTGCTAAGTTGTATTTTTATTTTTGTTTGTCTGAAGAAATTTTCTAATTCTCTTTTGATCTTTTTGTTGTTCCACTGGCTGTTCAAAAGTGGGTTGTTTAATTTCCACGTATTTTTGAATTGACTTATTTCCCCTCTTTTTCTGATTTCTAGTTTAATTTCATTGTGGCTGGGAAAGATAAATGGTATGTTTTCTATCTTCTCACAATTTTTAAGGCTTGTCTTGTGACTTAACATGTGATCACTCTTAGAAAATGTTCTATGGGCACTTGAGAAGAATGTATATATGGCTGCTTTTGGGTAGAAAGTTCTACGTATGTCTGTTAAGTCCATTTGGCCTACGGTGTTGTTAAAAACTGCTGTTTCTTTGTTGATTTGCTCTCTGGTTGTTCTATTTATTATTGTTATTATTTATTTATTATTGTTCTATTTATGTATTATCATTTATTATTTATTTATTCATTATTGTTATTATTTATTTATTATTTATTATTATTATTTATTTATTATTGTTCTATTTATTATTGAAAGTGTGGCAACAAAGTCTTCAAACAGCATTGCTGTTTCTCATTTCAGTTCTGTTAATGTTTACTTTAAATATTTAAGTGCTTTCATGTTGGGAGCAAATATTTATAATCATCGTATCTTCCTAATGAATTGGCCCTTTTGTCATTATATAATGACTTCTTTTGTCTTTTGTGACAGTGATTGTCTTAAAATGTATTTTCTCTGATAGAACTATAGCCACTCCTGTTCCCTTCTGTTTATCATTTGCATTTAATATCTTATTCATTCCTTTTGCTTTCATGAGTGAATGTTTAGGATGTTATACTGAGTGAAATAAACCAGTAACAGAAAGACAAATGTTGTATGATTCAACTTACATGAAGTATCTAAAACAGTTAAACTCATAAAAGCATAGGGTAGAATGGTAGTTGCCCAGGACTGTAAGTGGGAGAAAATAAGGGCTTGCTAAGAAATAGACACAAAATCTCAATTACGCAAGGTAAATAAATTCTAGAGATCTGCAGCACAACATTGCCCCTATAGTTTACGATGATTTATTATATGAATAAACATTTATTAAGAGGGTAGATCTAATGTTAAATGTTATTACTGTAATAATTTTTTGTCGTTGTTGTTTTGTTTTGTTTTTTTGAGATGGAGTCTCGCTCTGTCACCCAGGCTGGAGTGCAGTGGTGCGATCTGGGCTCACTGCAAGCTCCACCTCCTGGGTTAACACCATTCTCCTGCCTCAGCTTTCCGAGTAGCTGGGTCTACAGGCTCCCGCCACCACGCCTGGTTATTTTTTTTTGTATTTTTAGTAGAGATGGAGTTTCACCATGTTAGCCAGGATGGTCTCAATCTCCTGACCTCGTGATCCACCCACCTTGGCCTCCCAAAGTGCTGGGATTACAGGCATGAGCCACCGTGCCAGGCCATAACTTTTTAAATAAAGGAATGATTGCTTGGATTAAATAAAGCAAAATATAAAATTGCTTAATAGGGTGACTGGTACTTTGTTATTTAGGAAAATTAGGTAAATTTTATCTAAATATGGTCTGATATCGATAATTTAAAATGGCCATCTATTTTTAAAGAAAAGCATTCAAATTTAGTTATTGATTAAAATAATCAAGTCTAAGTTTTGAATTTCTTCTCATTGTATAGTTAGCCCGTGTAAAACTTACATTAACAGCTTCATCTTCCGTTAGAGTTTTATCTATTGTTATGTTGGGCAAATCTGGCCAAACCTACAAGAGACAAGACATGGAAAAGCTGATCAAAACATAGTCAGCATGATATGATTGCTATGTAGATGAAGTGTAATGGAGTATTAGAGGCTTATTATTAACTCAAAGTCTTCAGATCTGCAATCCCTTCAAATCTCATTATTATTGACACACATACCATTTGCAAACTATTCCCATTTTCCATGTTAGTCTCCTCTTTAATATGGCAAATACAAAATAGCATTGCCAACCTTTATGGTAGTTAGTAATTTTGAAAATAATACATATAACCAAAAGGTTCTGGTCAAAAACTAATATGAAAAATATAAGTTAAATTTAATTTAATATAGTATATTAGAATTATTTGTAGAATTACTCCAGGGTTAAAAACTAAAAACAATAAATCTTTTTGTTTGAAAGGAAGCAAAGATCCGATTGAATAATGTCATGCTGAATCAAACATCCCAGTGATTTTCAGAATTAGTACTAAATCCTCCTCTCCCTTCATCCCACCACTATTCCCAGCCTGACCTCATTGCCTACCAACATTTTTTTCCTTCTACTCTGACCAGAAACACACAAAACAGAGCTGAAATTCAATTTGCTGAAAGCTCTGGAAATTTGGATCTATATTGTAGAAGTTTGAAAGTCCTATATAAAAATATAAATAATCCACCAAAAAGGAATTATTTACAAGGGATTAGCTGATGGTAGAGAATAGTGCTCTAAAGGAAGGGGAGAAATGGTAGAAATCTGACAAAATGTGTAGAAATACAGAATGAGGAGAAAGTAGGAAGTTAAAAAAAAACCTCTGGATTAATATGCCTCTCAAGTAGCTGGGGCTACAGGCATGCACCACCATGCCTAGCTAATTTTTAAATTTTTTGTAGATACAAAATCTCCCTATGTTGCCCAGGTTGATCTCGAACTCCTGGGCTCAAGCAATCCTCCTACCTCAGCCACTCAAACTGCAAGCATTACATGCATGTGCCACTGTGCCCAGCCCTGTCTATATTCTTCACTCAGCTTTCTCTAATGTTAACATGTTATATAACAATAGTGAACTTATCAAAACCAGGAAATTAATGTTGATACAGTACAATCAACATTTATTGAACATGTTTGCATTTTGCAGATTTAATCACTAATGTCTTAATTTTGGCCCAAGATTCAAAAAGCCTCTCACATTTCATTTAATTGTGTCTCTCATCATAGATTTTTTTTTGTTGTTGTTGTTGTTGTTTTGAGACGGAGTCTCGCTCTGTCCCCCAGGCTGGAGTTCAGTGGCTCGATCTTGGCTCACTGCAAGCTCCGCCTCCCGGGTTCACTCCATTCTCTTGCCTCAGCCTCCTGAGTAGCTGGGACTACAGGCACCCGCCACCATGCCCTTCTAATTTTTTTGTATTTTTAGTAGAGACGGGGTTTCACCACGTTAGCCAGGATGGTCTCGATCTCCTGATCTCATGATCCGCCCGCCTTGGCCTCCCAAAGAGCTGGGATTACAGGCGTGAGCCACCACGCCTGGCCCTCATCATAGATTTTTTTGATGGTGTTATCATTGTTGTTCATTCTAGTTTTTACTATGAGATTTTTTTCTTGATTGCTTTATATAAAAGCCAAATCAAAATATTTTTGTAATATATTAATATATCAGGTCTGAATATACTTGTTTATATAAAATACAGTGAATTATACTTCATGATCTAAGTTTTAAATATAAGTATAGCTGTCAAAACATGTTGTTGCTACTATTAACATATGTTTTCAAGAGAAGTGAACATTTAAATAACTTGCAGTACAGAATAATGAGTAGCCATCTTACTAATGGTAGTCTTATAATAAATTACAAGTGGTACCAATAAATATAATAAAATATGTCTTAAAGATGAAACAAATCATATTTGGACATGTGACTTATATGAATTCTTTCTTTGTGTCTAATTTGGATTGAACCAAAGACTATACATTATTTTATTAGTTATTAAATCATTACATTTCTGTATAGCTCTCCTGAACGGTTTTAACTTTTACTAATTAAATGGAAACTTTCATTGAAATATAATTTTTGTATTTATTCTATTTCAAGATATCGATTTAGTACCTTTGCCCAACAAATGTCATTGGTGTTTGGCCATTTGACAAAGACATCATTCTGCTGTCCTCTTTCAAATGCAGGGTAAGTCTTTGTTTCATTTCCTGAAATTGCTGGATCCTAAAATTAAAATGAAATATAAACAAGGTACACATGAAAAAAGCGTAACTACTTGGACAGTGATTATGAAGCATAAGTTTTCATTACTACATTATCATAATAATGTGCTCTCACATTAAATGACAAATGATACAAACATCAGTGTTCTAGCTAGATTTCCCTCCAAATTTCTTAGAAGGAAATTCTAAGGACTCTTGGAAATGCATCAGCTATCATTTCAAGAAAGATTAGTAGAGGTTTTTATTTTGTTTTTATTTCTATGGTGAGATATCTGGCTAACTAGCTTACTTCCTATAAGATAGTGATAAAAAATTATCTTCACTGAATCACCAATCTGAAGGCAAGTTTTTAAATATGAAAAACATCAGAAGCAATCCCAGAGAATGAACTAATAATTGTATAAAAATAGAAAATCTACCATTACATTTTGATAACTCCCATAAATAGAGGCCAATTTGTAGCTTGGATGATAACTAGAAAACAGCTTCCCTTTAACTCAGCTTTGGTTTTAAATCTCTAGGGATATACCTAAATACAAAGGTAGCTGATCACAACCCATGCAAATAAAATGAAGTGCTAAAGGAAGAGAGTTTTAGATTTGGGAGTGTTACTCAAAGTTATATACTTTCTATTTTGAAACATCTTCCCCCCCACCTGCTCATTTTAGGTGAATTAATGGAAACAAGAAATAAGACTCAGGTAAACTCCAAGTACTGACCAGGATAATAATGTATCTCATTCCTTCTCCTCTTATTTTGTCAACAAACTGAGGAAGGTCCTGGAATGCTTCACCAATTGTAAAGTCTAGCTGCCTTTCCATGTAGTCAATGTCTGTGTACTGAACATCCTGAAATATCCAAAAATTATCAAAGTAGGGCAAAAAATACAAAATAGTAAGTGTATCATATTTTATCATACTTATAAAAGTAACAGCAATATGAAAGTTTGAGTTCCTCTTCACTAGATCCTAAAAAGAATTAAATGGTTTAGTGTTCAAGGAATAAAAGTAGCATGTAAAGATGTAAAGTATTCTAAGAACAACTTTCTATAAATGTTCTGTTTTGTCAACAGTTCATTTAGTCATTTTGATTTAGAGGTAAAAACTGTTCTAAATTGGTATATATTATGTAATCCTCAAAGGAAACAGAAAGACACTGAGCAATAGGATTTATGATACTATGAAATTAGGTTAAATGACAAATAGGACTTTTGTACAGTATATACAGAAAGAGATGTTGCTGTTTCCGGGAAGTATACAGCAAATATCGGGTAATTTCAAATAATTCTAATATTGGCAAAAGGAGTATTAACAATTACATCAATTACTATAATCTTGTTCTTGTAATATCCATCAAAGTCACTTTTAGGATAACAGCCCTGCTTATCTAAGCAAGAATTGTTTTAAGATAGGTAATTGCAAGTATGTTTAAACCAACAAATATTTGAATTGTATCATGGAATATTCAATTGAAGCCTAAATACAAAATTTGTTAATTATTTTCTGTTAGTTGACATTATCTCAATTTCTTCTTCTATGTGTTATAGAAAGTATGGTCAATAATGTATACCTCCTTTTAAATAATAAATTTCCACGTGCATGTTTCTGTATTGTCAACATATATAATTAATTTCCCATACTAGTTATTCAGGAACTCTATATTGGACCCTACTATAAATACCAATGTCTTATAATGAGGTTTTTCTGATTTTTCTTAGAATAAACTCTTATATATCAAGCCTTCTATATTTTAATGTTTGGGTGTTAGCAGCAGCATCCCTAGGATTCCTTAATTTTGATAAAAAATGAGGAAATTCAGAGATTGATCATTTGTGGATACTTTGGAATACTTAGCTTCCTGAATATTGAGTGAATCTCTATTATATATTACAACTATTATCTATTCCAGGGCAAAAAAAAAATTAGTTCCACCTCCAACTTGTTCTCTGGTTGATGATACAGATTTCTTATCTTATTGATGATACATATTTCTGTGAACTTTAACATGAAGAGAACATAGTGACTGCCTGTACAACCCAGAGTTTGTGAGAGGAAATCAAGTGCACAGTGACTTGTTTAGCACAACACAGCATGATAGTATTAGGGAGGGAAAAGGAAAAGGAATGGTATTTCTTCCTCTCCTTTATCAGTCTGACAAAGACACTGTTTATAAATCTCATATCCAATACATAAGGTGCCAGTAAAAAAAGCTAAGCATTATTACCAGCTGCTTAAATTAAAGTATACATGTTTAATTATTTCATTCTACTTTTACGTATTCCATATTTAACATTGTTTTAAAATTGATATACATACATAGGGGATGTTAGCAGCCACCATAGCGTCATATAATTCCCGAACCTCTGAAGTATTTGCATATCCATAACGACATAATTGGAATCCCAAAGCCCAATAAGCTGGCATGACTGGATGGCCAATTACCTTTAAAAAAAATTCATGTGTGAACTAAGAGAATTACTTTATGCTATAAAAATTTTTAATTTTTTTAAAAGAAATATGCAATCATACTTCATGGTATTGCTTTGTTGCAACTTCTGGAGTTGGGCCCAAAAACATATAAAAATCCAAGATCCCTCCAACTGTACGGTAAGTTAGAGCAGGAGTTGGCTGGAATGTAACATCTGGAAATCCAAAATAACATCCCATTTTCATCTATGTATACTAGTTTATGAAAAAGTCACATAAAATAAGAGACATTCAACAAATGATTGTTTTACCCATTGCATTGCTGTTGAGTAAGAAAACACCATGAGCATTGCCCTCCTCTTCCAGAGCCATGTAATAGGGATGAAATCCATAGGAATTAAGTTTGTACTGAAATACGAAAAATAAGCACAATATATTTTAAGTAACAATAGCATGTGAATTTAATCAATGTTATTTTAAAATTTATTATACAATCGAGACTTGATATTTAAATTCCCGTTTCCCAACCTTAAACTATGCTTCAGTTAAAATAAATGTGTCTCCCTAGAATATAATTGTTTAAATTTTTTCTGCTTTCGTGCAGTTTACAAATATGTTTCTATAATATTTGTATATTAATAGAAATTAATATACAAATATGTATATATTTGTATTAATATACAATATGTAACAACTGCAAATGCTTCCACATTAAATGACATAGAATACTATTGCCATTAGAGTAGTTTGGTTTATTTCCAAAGGTTATGTGTTTAACTTATCTATAAATTGGTATTTTTTCCATAGTA
The DNA here is from genome assembly GCF_000001405.40 of Homo sapiens. Taxonomy (NCBI): domain Eukaryota; kingdom Metazoa; phylum Chordata; class Mammalia; order Primates; family Hominidae; genus Homo; species Homo sapiens. The sequence continues at coordinate 165,018,468 of NC_000003.12, forward strand.
AAATGTCCTAGAAATGATAAAAGTGATGAATACAATTAAACTGTCCAGAAAATATCTTGTTTATATATTTTATATTTATAGAACATTTAAAGTTTTATATTTATAAAATATTTAATTCATTGTTTCATACTGTAATCATAGTCAGATTTTATTAGATTATATACTTTTGATTCTTAATATATATAAAATTACCAGTGAAATAGATTTTATAGTAATTTATTTTTAGTAATATGCAAAATTACTAGTGGAAGTAATTTTAGATATCAAGAATCAAAAGTATATTAGTCTAATAATATCGGTACAAATGCTGAAGGGATTTTAAGAAATCAGTTTTGGTAAAATGTATTCTTTCAAGTTAGTGTTAATAGAAAACAGCCTTCAATAACCTAAGTTTGGAGTATTATGATATAAATGCAAGCTGTTTGAGCACCTAACAATAAAAAATGCTTACAATAGTTCACAGACTTATAGTATGGTACTGAGTATATCCTTTTAAGTATACATCACATGTGAAAAATACAAATAGAATAATTTTCATTAAAATATATTTTTTATGATATGTTTGGAATATTATAGATAATATTATTTGTTGCACAGTACATTAAATATTCATAAAATGTGTTGCATTAACGAGACAAATCTTTGGAAAAAGAGTCATGAGTATATAAAAACACATTGTAAAGATGTAATTAGCACTTTGGCCACATAAAGTTACCCAACTGCAACTGAAGGTTATAAAGGGAAAAAAGATCAAATCAGTACCTGAGAAGTAAAAACAATCAAGGAAAACTTTAGGCAGTTATTTTCTAAAAGCTGGAGTAAAGGTAAACTTGACAGGGAATACAGAATCAGCATATTCTTTGTATGCATTTGAAACAGTTAAGGTATTGAGTCAAAGCCTGGCTTCTCACAGTAGTCAAGCAAATTGTTATCCATCCACTCCTCTACTTCCACCTGTAATTTATGGTGACTTTTTGGGTTTGTTTCTCAGAAAATTGCTATAGCTGCTCTGGAGATCTCTAGCTAATGCCTTTGTCATTACTTCAATCCTAAAGCACAGGCCCATAAAGAAGTGGCTTGGATTCTACTCATGGTCTTAGTTGCCTCGTGGAGTGGTCATATGTTGGTACCTACACCAGGGGGTTGGTCTCTTGTGAACATTCCCCAAGTATTCCAGTTCAGATCTCGCTTAAATGCTGTATGTTCCACTTCCCCAAAACCATATATATATTCTGATGGCAGGCGAGTCGATATTTGAATGAACTGGTCATTAAAAGCAAATCCAGGCAGCCAAGAATCCCAACTGAAAACAAAAGAAAACAAAGCTATGTCTGTCAAAATATATGCAAAGTAGTATCACAAATAATAACGGTAATTCTTTCTTAGATTATCTAAAAATCAATATTATTTTCCATATTCCTAATTATACCCAGGTACCAAATGGAAATAGATGATTAATCTAATACATGTTTTCTTTTAGCTAAGTTAAGGAATATGTAAAATATGCTTCATATACTTATAGGAGAATCATAATATAAATAATATGATTGTACATGTTTTTCTTTAGACAAGTATTCCTTTTAAAAATAAAATTAATATGAAATCATAAATGACTTAGTAATGTGTGACCTAGAAATTAAAAGGCCTCAATTTTCCTGCTCCCTTGAGATAATCACAATACATTTTTTTCTACATATGGAATAAAAATACATCAATATTATAATGAATTTTAAGTTTAACAGATATTCAAATGTTTAACTCTCTCCTATTACTACTCCCAATTGTGTTTTTCTTCCTTTATTTTATGTTCATAAAAATAGCTGTGTATGAAGAAATGTGTTACAAGAAACATATTATTATTCAACTCATTTGCAAGAAGAACATAAAGAGGAAGGAAAGTAACATGGGCAAGGAGAGGAAGCGTAAGTATTACAAGTAATCTGGGCATATTTTAACTTTTTATATTTATTATTTTGGAAAACTATTTAATCGAGAATAATGCTTGTCAAATGACAATAAATAATGCCCTTGCACCAGGATATTTTTATAAAATGACTTAGCTTCCCATGCTTTTGAACAAAAATATTGTCATAACAACAAAATTATTAAAATAATCCAGATATAGTTTTAGATATTATTTGTACATATCTTGACAATACCAGAAAACATCCTGATAACATCATCTAAGGAATGGCATGGCAAACTTAAATTACATAAAAGTATATTTTAATATATTATAGTTTATAGATCTTTTGAATAAAATAAAGACTACAATTTTAAAATTAAATTTATTCATTGTAACATAAAAATATATCTAGACTTACATGTTGTAACTTATTTTCACTAATACCTGGCAGATAAATTATTAATTCTATCAGATTCAAGCACCAATAAACTATTTCAACAGTTTCAATAAAATATTTACTTCACTTGTTTCCAAATACTTATTTTTGCCAACACTTATCATGCTTTTTAAAAGAGGTTTTGGTTTTGGTTCTCAACTTGATTAGAAGAATGAGTCTGATACTAATAGTGAAATTGAACACCTCCAAAGTGTAGATAAAATTGTGGGCCAATCCTTTAAAATAGTCCCATGGACTATGTTTAGCTAGAAATATTAAAATGGGCAAAGTTATTTAACACGTCTTAAATTTTTTTGTGTGATGCTACTCTAGGACAGTGAAGGCTGTTAATCATTTTACTTTTCCCTTCGTAAGCTAAAATTAAAATATCCTTTATATCAAATAATTCAATTACTTACATGACTCTTCCACTGCTTCTCCGTCGAATCTGGATGCCAAAAGGATTTTCCTTGATTTCCACATCATAAAGTCTGTCTTCATAAGTACTTATTGGGGTGGTTGGAATGTTTAACGGTACTGGTACTTCATATCTCTTCTTTTGGGGATCATAAATCTATTGCAGATAAGTAGTAAAAAAGTTTATTCTGATTGCTGACATAGCATGTACATATCATGAACTAAGTTAAATAATGGCTCAAACAAGAATATTTAGAATTTTTCTCCACATAATTTCTAATTCTACATTCATGGTCCATATAACCATATCAATATAGAATTCCACATACACATTTATAATGGGTCCTAACTGAATACTGCATTTTTGAACCTTTAAAAAATGTTTTGTGATTTGTTTTCTAAATAATAAGAAATCAAAACAAAAATTTTAGAGCTAAATATTCTGTTGTATGGGTATACCAAAATTATTTCATGGTTAAAAACAGAAGTTGTTTCAATATTTTTTGTCATACATATTATTATACAATAAACCCTAATGCTAATTTATGTTTATTTGTGTTTTTATTTCTTCAGCACATTTCTTAAATACCACTAGGGTCTGAGTATACTTACCGTTTTAGGGTCTTTGATAACTATTGACAAACTGCTTTCCAGAATTTGTTTACTGATTAATATTCTCACCAAAATGTGTACTCTAATGCTAATTTATGTTAAATTAAAAGCATTTATTTTTCATTGTTAATCATTTCATTTCCTACTTATGAGGTTTCATCTTTTTCTACATTATTATTCAACATTTATGTTCCACTGTACTTTAAACTGCATTTTGCTCCTGGAATTTTTAATGAGTGTAATTATGTTGATATTTTAGTTTCTTCTGTTAAATATCTTCTTATGAGAGGTCTTGATATTTTTTCTTGATTACATGAGTTGGAATTGCTTTCCCTATGTCACATCTTTATCAGATGTTTACCCATTTTTTTGTCCTCTAATTGTTTATAGTGTTTTTTGATGTGAAAACATATTTTATTTTTATGTTAGAAAATGTGTAGATTTTTACCTATGTCACTTAACGCCTTTTTATCTGTGGCTTGAAAGGCCTTTGCTAGCCAGATACAAAATAAATATGCAGCTAAATTTATTTTAGGCTTATGTTTAGTTTTCACATGGAACTCATTCTAAATTTTATTTTAGCATATGATTAAAAACAGACACTTTTTTATATAAATTTTTAAATAACCTACCTCTTCATTATTAATTTGTGAACCTTTCTTCACACACACACATCTTCTATGCTTTTGTGCCATCTCACACACACACACACACACACACACACACACACACAATCTTCTATGCTTTTGTGCCATCACACATACACACACACACACACACACACAAAATCTTCCATGCTTTTGTGCCGTCTCGTTTCAATAAACAACCAGGCAATGCTATCTCCAGTTCCACACTGTTTTAATTGTATGAATTTTTATTCTTTACCCATTGCTGAATTTTAACAATTGCAAGGTGTTTATTTTTTCAGACAAACTTAAAAGTTATTTTATGAAGTCTCAAAAGATATTTCACTAAGATTTATATGAAAATACTTTAAAAGCAGCGACTGAGCTAAAGTGAATTAACATTTAAAATATCGTTTACTCTTATTTATAATTTTAAAATACTTAATATGAACATTTTTAATAGTTTTTCTCCTTACAGATACTCCACTTAGTCCTATAATTTTTGATGATTTATTATTTGATTTTTTCATTTGAGTTTGCTAATGAGATTTGTTGCCATTTCTGCTTCTAAATAATGAGCAATAATACACAAGAAAATATCTTTGGAAATATAATTTTACATCTAGTTATTTTGTTGATATTTTAAATTTCTAATACTATTCTTAATGGATTCCTTTGGAATTCTTAAGTTAAAAAATGCTATCTCTAAAAGTTGAATGAAATTATTGCTTTGGTATGTCTTATTGCATTGGCCAGAAAATTAAGACCACAACTTAAAAATAATGGAAACAGTAGGCATCCAATTTTGTTTATTTTAATGACACTATCAGCATAGTTTGATAATAAATGACTTATGTATTTTGTAAGAATTTAAATTTATTTTTAAAATCATCATTGTATTAATCACAAAGTTAGCAGGAATGAGCAGTTTCATTTATTGGGCACCTAGCTATGAGTTGTGTAGGAAAAAATATTTTTATAAAATCAAAATATTATCAAATCTGTTAATAACCTTTAATATTACATTAAATATCAATCACAGGATTATTCAAAATCTCATCTCACAAGATGAGTTAAGCTTTGGGGTAGTTTATATCAAGCATACCTTAAACTGCAACATATCATTTTTGTGATATTTCACCTCCACACGAAGAGTTGAGATGGGGTCAGAAGGTAACTTTATTCTGGCATTTGCAGTATTTAGTTGGAGGTCAGCTGTTATACCCATGGATGAATAGCGAGCTGAGTTGACTGAATAAGAGTTATCTTGTCTGGGAAAGTAACACTCAGGTGCTTTGGATAGAGAAGAACCCTAAAAACACAATGCATGTTCATTGCCAGAAATTATAAGCCTTGTAATATTTTACTCTTTAAAATTATACTGACGTTTAGTCACACATTGTATGATTTACAAGTTTCATTAATACAAAAATGAAATAACAGTTATAACACAAAATATATTTTATGCAATTTGGGATCCCATGTACTAAAATTTTATACAAAATATTTACATTTACACTCTAGAGAAAGAATGGTAGAGCAGAAGGATCAAATGTCATACATTTTTTAACTCAAAAAATAGCATTAAATTGTGTTGTCTGCAAAAGCAAGTATATTACTAATAAATTTTGATTCCATGTTTGTTCTTACTGTTCATATTGATTGTTGATTATTGTGTATAAAAATGGCATTATAACATGCCTCTAAAGGGCAAGTGCTAGAATTCTGTTACTTATAATGAAACTCTCAATCCTTCTTTTTTTAACATGTTCTTATACTGGTTAATTACATCCTGACCTGGATTTGAAATAGGAACCCTGGCCAAGAATCAGAGTTGATTGGTTTAACATAGAAGTGAGAGATAAAACCTAAGAAAAAGAATTATAAACTCTGGCATTGATGGCTGGTTGCCATACCACAATCCATTCTCCCTATCTTCCTTGTTTATTAAATTATTATATTTTGGAGAGAAATATTATATTTATCTACATTTCCAATTTCCTTTTAAAGAAGTTGTGTGAGTCCTCATAAAAGCTCTTTAAAAGAAAGGGGCCTAAGCTGACTAAATTGAGATACTCTGTTTGACTCATCTTCTTAAGGGTGTACTGTCTGGCTTCTATCTAAAGTGAACAATTTCATCTGTGTACCCTATCCCAGGCCTCCTTACCTATAAAAATATTTCTCCCTCAATTCTCCACCCTCTCTCTTGCATCAATAATATTTCATTCATTATGTTATTTTTAACAGCATAAACTGATTTTATTTTTCTCATTTTTTTAGAGTAAATGTCACTTCAGTAACTTCTCTGACTACTGTTCTATTTTTTCTGCTTTCTTTACAGCAAAACATACTCACTATCTCTAATTTGTCCCTTGATTTTCTCTTGAACTCACTCTAACTAGGCTTTTATCCCTAGTACTACATCTAATGTTTGCATGTTAAAGTTACCAAAGACTTCCATGTTGCCAAATCCACATGTCAGTTTCCAGTCCTTATCTTACTGACAAACAATTTGCATAGTTGATCATTTCTTCCATTCTAAATGCTTTGTTCAATTGGCTTCCAGGACCCAGCATGTTATTTCCAACCCAATACTTGAGCTGTTCTTTCTAAGCCTCCTTTGTCATTTCCTCCTTGGCTAAAGTTTGTAATCGCCCAGGGTTTAGTCTTTGAACACTTCTCATCTATTCAAGCTTATTTCGTTGATGATATCATGCTACCACATGGCCTTAAACACAGAAATGAAAGTCTCAGCAATAGAATCATACAGGCAGAGGAAAGAACTTCAGAGCTTCAAGATGAGGTTTTTGAATTAACTCAATCCAATAAAGACAAAGAAAAAAGAAGAAGACAATATGAACACAGCCTGCAAGAAGTCTGGGATTATGTTAAATGACCAAACCTAAGAATAGCTGGTGTTCCTGAGGAAGAAGGGAAATCTAAAAATTTGGAAAACATATTTGAAGGAATAATCAAAGAAAACTTCCCTGGCCTTGCTAGAGATCTAGACATCCAAATACAAGAGAGCTCAAAGAACACTTGGGATATTCATCGCAAAAAGGTCATTGCCTAGACACATTGCTGTCAGGTTATCTAAAGTTAAGATGAAGGAAAAAATCTTAAGAGCTGTGAGGCAAAAGCACTAGCTAACCTATAAAAGAAAACAGCAGATTTCTCAGCAGAAACCCTACAAGCTAGAAGGGATTGGGGCGCTGTCTTCAGCCTCCTTAAACAAAACAATTATCAGCCAAGACTTTTGTATCCAGAAAAACTAAGGTTCATAAATGAAGGAAAGATATAACCTTTTTCAGACAAACAAATGCTGAGAGAATTGTCCACTACCAGAATCAGTACTACAGAAACTGCTAAAAGGAGCTCTAAATCTTGAAACAAATCCTAGAAATACATCAAAACAGAACCTCTTTAAAGCATAAATCTCACAGGACCTATAAAACATAATAAAAAAACAAGGTATACAGGAAACAAATAGCACAATGAATGGAATGGTACCTCACATCTCAATACTGACATTGAAAGTAAATGGCCTAAATGCTCCACTTTAAGGACACAGAATTACAGAATGGATAACTATTCACCAACCAACTATCTGCTGCCTCCAAGAGACTCACCTAACACATAAGGACTCACACAAACTCAAGATAAAGGGGTAGAAAAAAACATTCCATGCAAATGAACACTGAAAGCCAGAAGTAGCTATTTTTATATCAGACAAAACAAACTTTAAAGCAACAGCAGTTAAAAAAGGCAAAGATGGACATTATAAAATGATAAAAGGCCTTGTCCAACAGGAAAATATCACAATCCTAAATATATATGCACCTAACACTGGAGGTCCCAAATTTATAAAACAATTACTAATAGACCTAAGAATTGAGAGAGTCAGCAACACAGTAATAGTGGAGGACTTCAATACTCCACTGATAGTACTAGACAGATCATCAAGATGGAAAGTCAACAAAGTAACAATGGATTTAAACCATACCCCAGAAAAAATGGACTTAACAGATATTTACAGAACATTCTACCCAACAACCACAGAAGATACATTCTATTCATCAGCACATGGAACTTTCTCCAAGATAGACTGTATGATAGGGCACAATAAATTTAAGAAATTTGAAATTATATCAAGCACTCTCTGAGACCACAGTAAAATAAAACTGGAAATCAACTCCAAAAGGAACCTTCAAAACCATGCAAATACATGCAAATTAAATAATATGCTCCTGAATGATCATTGGGTCAAAAATAAAATCAAGTTGAAAATTTAAAAAGTCTTCTAACTGAATGACAATAGTGACACAGCCTATCAAAACCTCAGGGATACAACATACGCAGTACTAAGAAGAAAGTTCATAGCCCTAAATGCCTACACCAAAAAGTCTGAAAGAGCACACATAGACAATCTAAGGTCACACTTCAAGGAACTAGAGAAACAAGAACAAATCAAACCAAAACTCAGAAGAAGAAAGGAAATAACCAAGATTGGAGCATAACTAAATGAAATTGAAACAAAAAAATACAAAAGACAACTGAAACAAAAATCTAGTTCTTTGAAAAGATAAATAAAATTCATAGATCATTAGCAAGATTGATCAAGAAAAGGAGAAAGTCCAAATAAGCTCAATTAGAAATGAAATGCGAGATACTACAACTGACACCACAGAAATACAAAAGATCATTCAAGGCTACTATGAACACCGTTACACACATAAATTAGATGACCTAGAAGAGATGGATAAATTCCTGGAATGACACAACCTTAAATCGGGAAGAATTAGATAACCTCAGCAGATCAATAACAAGAAGTGAGATTAAAATGGTAATAAAAATTACCAAGAAAAAAATGTCCAGGGCCACATGGATTCATAGCAGAATTTTACCAGAAATTCAAAGAATAATTGGTACCAATCTATTGACGTTATTCCACAAGAAAGAGAAAGAGGGAATCCCCCCTAAATTGTTCTATGAAGCCAGTATCACCCTAATACCAAAACCAGGAAAGGACATAACCAAAAAAGAAAACTACAGACCAATATCCCTGGGAACATAGATGCAAGAATCCTTAACAAAATCCTGGCTAACCAAATTCCAAATTCAACAACATATCAAAAAGATAGCCCAACATGACCAAGTGGGTTTCATACTAGGGATACGGGGATGGTTTCACATATGCAAGTCAATAATTGTGATACACCACATAAACAGAATTAAAAACAAAAATCACGGGATCATCTCAATAGACACAGAAAAACATTTTAAACATCCAGCATTCAGCAAAATCGGCAAACAAGGGACATACTTCAACATAATAAAAACCGTCTATGACAAACCCACAGCCAACGTAATACTGAATGGGGAAAAGTTGAAAGCATTCTCTCTGAGAACTGGAACAAGACAAAGATGGCCATTCTCACTTATTTTCAACATAGTACTGGAAGTCCTAGCCAGAGCAATCAGACAAGAGAAAGAAAAAAATGGCATCCAAATCAGTAAAGGGGAAGTCAAACTGTCGCTCTTTGCTGATGATATGATTGTTTACTTAGAAAACCCTAAAGACTCCTCCAAAAAGCTCCTAGAACTGATAAAATAGTTCAGCAAAGTTTTTGGATACAAAATTAACGTACAGAAGTCAGTAGCTCTTTTATAAACCAAAAACAACCAAGGTGAGAATCAAATCAAAAACTCAACCTCTTTTACAATAGCTGCAGAAAATAAAATAAACTAAAATACTTAGGTGTATACCTAACCAAGGAGGTGAAAGACCTCTACAAGGAAAACTACAAACACTACTGAAAGAAATTATAGATGACACAGACGGAAACACATCCCATGCTCATGGATGGATAGAAAGAATATTGTGAAAATGACCATACTGCCAAAACAATATACAGATTCAATGCAATCCTCATCAAAACACCATCATTATTCTTCACCGAACTGGAAAAAACAATCCTAAAATTCATATGGAACCAAAAAAGACCATGCATAGCAAAAGTGAGAATAAGCAAAAAGAACAAATCTGGAGGCATCATATTACTTAATTTCAAACTATACTATAAAGCCATAGTCACCAAAATAGCATGGTACTGTATAAAAATAATCACATAGACCAATGGAACAGAATAGAGAACCCAGAATTAAACCCTGATACTTAGAGCCACCTGATCTTCGATAAAGCAGACAAAAACATAAAGTGAGGAAAGGACATCCTATTCAACAAATGGTGCTACGATTATTGGCAAGCCACATGCAGGAGAATAAAACTAGATTCTCATCTCTCACCTTACACAAAAGTCAACTCAAGGTGGATTAAGGACTTAAATCTAAGACCAGAAACTACAAAAATTCTAGAAGATAGCATTCTAGAAATTGTCTCAGGCAAGGATTTGATGACCAAAAACAAAAGCAAATCCAATAAAAACAAAGACAAACATCTGGGACTTAATTAAACTAAGATCTTTTGCAGTGCAAAAGGAACAGTCAGCAGAGTAAACAGACAACCCACAGAGTGGGAGAAAATCTTCACCATCTATACATCTGACAAAGAACGAATATCCAGAATCTACAACAAACTCAAATAATTTAGCAGGAAAAAACAAACAAACAATCCCTTCAAAAAGTGGACTAAAGGCATGAATAGACAAATCTCAAAAGAAAAGATGAACAAATGGCCAACAAACATATGAAAAAATGATCAGCATCACTAATGATCAGGTAAATGCAAATTAAAACAACAATGTAATACCACCTTACTCCTTCAAGAATGGCCATAATCAAAAAATAAAAAAAAAATAGATGTTGGCATGGATTCAGTGAAAAGGGGACACTTCTACACTGATAGTGGGAATGTAAACTAGTACAACCACTATGGACAACAGTGTGGAGATTCCTTAAAGAATTAAAAGAAGAACTACTATTTGATCCAGCAATCCTGCTACTGGGTATCTACCCAGAGAAAAAGAAGTAATTATACAAAAAAGATACTTGCACGTGCATGTTTATAGCAGCACAATTGCAATTGCAAAAATGTGGAACCAAACCAAATGTTCACCAATCAATGAGTGGATAAAAAAACTGTGGTGTATATATATACATATATATGTATATATATACATATATATGTATATATATGTAACATTAGCCTTATATATATATATAACATTAAAATTATTTAATAGGAAAGATAAAATTTCACATTTTCATGTTTAGAAGATATTTATTCTTTAGCAAAATGAATTGTTCCCACCTGTCCTTTATATTCGTTTTGATAAAGTTAGCATACTTTGAATGCAAAGGGGAATGGATGTGTATTTGGCTGAAAAGAGGCAACTTAAGAGAAGGTTTAGAGAAGTGAACTTCACTATTTGACTTTTATTGATTTTAGAATCTTTTCTTCTCCTTACTTTTTCTGTTCTTATATTCTTCCCTATTCTTCACTAGTGATACAGATTATGCTGCTTTAACAATTAATGGAGAGAAATTGGGATAATTTCTCTGGAGGCAGAGATTCTATGCATCTCTTTATACAAATGTAAATGTCTCTGGGAAATTGCTGACAAATATGTCTTGACTCGCCTCAGTGATATAACAGATGCATTTAGTTATTTGGTTATATTAAATAAATATATTTGTTGACAAAACTCAATGATGTAATGAAAAGCCCAGAATTTGAAAAACAGGCATAGCAAGAGGAATGTTTTACAATGTCCTTCCTGTGACATTGGTAAAAACACCTGCCATCCTCAGCCATCATCATTTTGTTAAAATGAAAGCCAAAATAACTGGCAAGAGATTATCATCCTTAGTGGAAGAGAAGTAGCCCGTTACTCAACATCATATGTCTTAATAACTTGAGACAACTCTTTCAAAATAGTGTCCACTACTGGCATATCTTACCCAAACAAGCAAATCAGCTACAGTCAACACCAAGTAGAGTGTAACTCTCAGACAGAGTATTATTTTTTTAAGTAAAGTTACATTATCCAAAGTTCCTGGAAAGCAATTTACACATCAATTCAGCCTGGCGTTTACTAAGATATGTCTTTGGATAATTAATTAAGATAAAAGTGAATTGCCTGTCAGAGATGCTAACTTCAAATTCCAAATGATTATCTACTTGAATTTAGTTTATATGCTGCAGATTTAAAATTATAATATGTAAAATTTGCACCAAAATGCTTATGTGATAACCATATCATGAGTAATAGTTAAAATTATTATTACCGTTCTCCATACACAGCCACGTTGTGTGCACTTTTGTTCAGTTGCCAAATCTGCATCTGGATAACAATTAAATCTTTCATTTTCTGAGAAAATTTGATTCCATTGAACACTAAAGTTTCTTCCAAGATTAAGTTTGAGATCTGCAATTAGGAGAACCTTTGAAGACAAAAAAAAAAAAAGAAAAAAAGAAAAAAAAAACACAAACAAACAAAAACATTAAACACTGTATCTGATCATTGGATGATTTAAAAAAACATTTTACATTTCACAAAATGTGGCAACGAGGGCAATTCTTCAAATTAAATCATTAATAGTTTTGATAAAATACTAGAAAAACAGAAAATATATATGCAATATATATGTGTGTATTTATGTATATATATACATATATGTACATATGTCACACACATAGAATTATGTCTATAATTGGGATTTCAAAATTATGTTTGATTATTGCTTATATGCCTTGGGAATAATGTGAGCAAGATTTATCCCACACCTAGATTTTCATCTGCATAGCTTACTTTTTGATACCCACCAAACATAATTGCAAAACTTTAAGGAATGAAAATTCATATAAAGATCAATCTATGCACAGCAGAATTATGAAGGTATACACAGCAGAATTATGAAGATTATATATATATAATATATATATATTTATAAGCATAAAAGTGGACATACAAATAGCCACAGATAGACCTTTATATTGCATACATAACCAATAAAATTATTTTTTATTATTCCCTCTTTTAATCTCTATTAGAGTCATAAAGTTCACAATAAGCTTGTATTACTTAATTTATATCAATTTATTCTTATAGTGCTAGGAAATATAAATCATAATATGCCTATTAAATAAAAAATAATTGACCAGTACATATTTTCTGAAAACTAATAATTGAAAAGCCCTGGGCCAGAGGTCTTATGAGTTAAAACAAAAATATTATAAGACAATGTTCTATATCTTAAATAATTTAGAAATTATTTATGGTAATATTACTAATAATTTAGTATTATATAAATGGAGAAAAGATAAATGACAAAAATAATTGCTTTCGTGTTTTTAAATACTACAGTCTCTTTTTTAATACATCAATCTACTACCCAAAGCAACATTATGATTGAAATATTACATTTTGCAAATGAGAAAGCTAAAATAATGAGAGATTGATTTAATGCGTTTAGAAGCAGAGATAGCAGAGTTATAATCTGTGCATCCAATAACAGTGCATCCAATTTTGTTATTTTTTCCCCTCTATACTACAACTGTAAAAAGAGACAAAAATCACAATATAAGGAAGGCTTTCTACAGGAGAAGAAAAGTGTAAACACAAAATTAAAGTTAGAAAAGTACAAGATATATTTTGAGGACAATGAGACCTCACTAAAAAAGAAACAGGAGAAAGACTAAAGAAATGAACAAAACCAATTTGTTAAAGAGTCTAAAGCAGCTAAAACATTTGGGATTTTCTTTTGCGTGCAATAGGTAGGTTAGAGTTCAGATTTGAAGAATTTTTATGGAAAATATTAGAAAGTCCCATATAATTAGAATGCATGAGAAAATGAAATATATAGAGAGAAATAGCAAGGAATTCCCTTCATGTTGATATCTAAATACAAATTGGATTGACATAAATTGGAATATTGTTCAGAAAAAGTGAAGAAAAAAATGAAGGGAAGAAGGAAGCAACGAAGGGAAGAAAGGAATACACACTGTGAGGAGAAATAGGATAAGTGCCTGAATGGTTATATAATATTAAATATGAGATTATATGATAGCTAAAATATTTTAAAAGATTGTAATTACCTGGTTAGAAGCATCATAAGTGAAATTGGAATGAGCGTTCATTGGTTGATTATTTTCCGCCACTCTAACTTCTGTAACACTGTCTGTCAACCCAAGGATTTTTACAGTCTGAAATGCTAAGGTAGTTCCTTCCTGATATGATGAATGTGTGCACACAATATCTAATGTGTTCTGAGAAAAATAGTATAAGATATTATATATTAGGTCATCAGATACAAACCTGAAATAACAATACCGATAAGAAATAGCAAAAAAAGGTCATCATCTACATCTCTATTCCCACCAGCTCTCCTCATCCAAGTAGCACATAGAAATATACTCATTAATATCTATTTTCATTTTTATATATATGCCAGAAAATTTTATTTTCAGAGATAACCTTAATTACTCATATGCAACACATATATACTCATTCTAGTCCTAACATTGATGAAGAATAATTTAGCTTTGCTAAAGAAGAATGTATGAAAAAACCCAAAATCTATGAAAAAATCATTTCTATTAACTATTCAAAATTTAATAAACCAAAATCCACACCAATTATTACTGTGACTAATTCATTAAAACATTTTCAGATATGTTGAAATTGTTTTCCTAGGGCATGTTGCCTAAAACCAATCATAACATGTCAAGAAGTCTAAAGGTTTCTTTCCATCAATTACATGGTCACAAACTTTATAAAATTTTAAGGTAACAATTTATTTATAATTTAACAATTTAAATATAACAATTTAATTGAACAATTTATTTCATTACATTCCATTAAAATCTGTAGGCAAATGTAAACATCTTTTCCAAAAAATTTATCATAAAAGAATAACCTAGGCATGAACAAATTATGCATTTAAGTATATGTACAAAGAGAGTGCTTACATTAGAAACTGAAAATGTATATAATATGTAGTTGCCATTTTGTATTGTATCTGAAATGAAAAATATCGTGATCAGTACAAAATGCAATGTTAAATTCTCTGCTCTGGTTTTACACTTATACAACACTTAAGAAATTTGAACAAACTAGATGCTGTTTATTAATGAAGCATCCCAAACAGATTTTGTTTTTAAATTTTTTAATTGTCTCTAAATTATATAATAATGGTATTTCATTTTCACAGCAAGTAGAGGTAATGAATACATATTTGCCTTGCTTATTTTTTCAAAGACTACCAAGGTATTTCTGGAAATTAAGAGAAAGCAAAACTTACAGTAAATAATATATAATTAAAAATGTATTATTTTGAAAGATATTCTCTCCCTTGTAAACCTCATAACAGTACATTTTTCTTAGGAAGACATGGCATATTATAATACATTTTGCATCTTTTTATTTTTTTCTATTATTTTTTATTCAAGGAAAACAATAAATCTGGAGACATGTTGAAGATTGAAATAAACTTTAGTCTGAAATTTAAATAAACTTTAATGAGGAAAATGGATGAATACAATGATTCTGTACCATATATGTAATATAACTTTTATTCAATGTATCTCTTTAAAGAAAAACTGAAGATAAGGACTGAAATAGTTTGTCATAAACAGTGTTAAAATATAAAGGGAATCCTAGGATTCATATAATATACTTTCCATAACATTAATTTGCTTAAAATTTTAGTCCTAGGAAATAATATTATATTCAGAACCTGAACTGAAGATCACTTTACTGTCTCCATGTTTGCTTACAAATCCATTAATCAGAATTCTGGTTTTCTTTCACTTTTTAAATGCACATAGCTACATAGGTATCATATTAGATAACTGATTGAATTATATTATTCATATTCTTAACTACTTACTTATATGAAAGTAAGCTATTCATATGCATCTTTATCAGTAGACAGTATGTATTTGGAGTATTTATATAATTTGAGTAATAGGAATAATCTTATAATTGCTCCACACATGCTATCAATGGAGGTATTATCTCAACATTGTTTGATTGATGACTACAAGCAATGTTAAGTTCAGCTGAAATCCACTTTTACAAAACTTCTATGTACTAAGTTTTGGCTTACTACATAAGCCAGAGAATAGGTTTGGAATCTAATCTCACAGGAGAGCTCACCCTAGTGTGCTTACACCCCAGGGTATTTAAGAAAGAGCAAGAAGATTGGTGTGCTAAAATTGAATGAGAAATAGAAAGCAATACAGGATAATGTGTTTGTGTGTGTGTGGGTGCGTGTATGTGTGTGCGTGCATGCACGTGTGCACATGTTAAAGCACAAATAATAAGCTCTCTAGGTCTCGATAAAACTCCGTCTCCTAACTGAGTAAAATGGAGGATCATTAGAAGGTTTTGAGAAGAGATGCAATTACTGGAATCACCTTTTAAAATGATTACTCTACCTGCTGGATTGTAATAAAATTTTAAAAGGGGTTAAAAAGAGCTACAGGCCAGTTAGGAAGTTATTGCCCTAAATTAACATGAAAGATGGTGGTGACAGTGGGGGAACTGATGAGAGGCTTCAGATCAAAGTAGAACCAATGAAATCCTTAGGTTGTGAGAGATAATAGCCCATTCCAAGGTGTTGGCATCTGTAGCAATGAAGTTACCATCAACTGACAAAGGGAACACGATAGATGGAGCAGATACATGGTGGTAAGATCCAAGTTCTATCTTGGCAGATTATGTTTTAGATTTTTATTAGACAAACAAATAGAGAAGTACATAGAAGACTGGTTTGGAGATATAAATTTGAAAGTCAGGTAAATGGTATAAAAGACTACATTTATCAAGGAAAGGACTACTGGTAAAGAATAGTAATAATTAAAAGACAGAGAATATTTATAATTAATAGCTGTTAATGATACAAGTAATTCATAGCTTGCATTGAGAAAATCACCCAGAGAATAGATCTTTCCTTAGAATAAGTTTGATTGCTAATACATTGAAATAATGCCATAAATAAATGTAATTTATTTAAATGAATGTTAACTGAGGGTGAATGTAAGTCTTAGGAGAGAATTATAGAATCCTGTGGTAATTTTTAAATATACACATTTTCAAAAATAAATAAATATTCACATGTTTCATATACATTTAAAGGCATTTAGGATAGTCTTTTTCTTCTTGTTGTCCTTCCTATATTTATCTGTAACTCTTTAAAATTTGTACAAGGATATTCCTTAATACACCTGAGAAGTAGTTAATTAAAATAGAAGATAAATTATAATTTTTATACTCATATATAAAACACATACCTAACAGCCCTCTATTAGAAGAAACGAGATTTTTCTAAAAAGTTTCTAAAAATGTATAAGGAAAATTGTAAGTGAATAGTTAAATACAAATAGACAAACTTACTATGGCATAATTAGAAATACCATAGCAGAAGATTACTTTTAAACATTTTGTTTGGTATACTGAATTCCCAAGTTTGGAGCTCAAGAAATTCAATTAAAGATAATAAGGAAAATAAATTGTAAACAATTGATACGATGATATTCTTACCTCAAATAATTTGACATTAAATAACTAAATCTTTAAATGTTGGTTTTATTTTCTGTTTACAGTAACAAAATTTTAGTTATAATCACTACCTTACTTTAAAACAGTTGAAAATATAATGCAATTAGTATATCTGAGAATTTATTGACTATTTTAATCTAATAGATAAAGATAGATTAAAAATCTTGCCAAAGACTTACAACAAACAAAAGCACAAAACTGGATATTTTAGTTACATATAGATAAAGCAAATAACAATGTTAAAAGTTTTAAAGTAGCCTAAAAGCCTGAAACAGATAAAAAACATTAGGAATTAAAAATAAAAATTCGTGATATTTAAAAAATGATACAACCTATATCAATAAAGCCAAAACTTCCCATTATCAGAGTGAACATTTAAAGCGTATTACTTTCAGACTTACCTTTAGTTTCTCCATCATCCCAGAAAAAGTCTCCTTTGGCTGTGTTGTTTTCACCTAATGCGACTATAAGTCCTAGAGGATTCTTACGGCTGTTAAGAAAAATTAGGTGCATATATGGTTAAAAATAAATCCATAATAATACAATATCCTATAAACAAGTCCACTTCAACCTGTCTGTTTTATGGGCCCTGAATTCAGTAAGGACATTGACATCAATAAATTTGTATTTATATGTATTAATAATTTACCGATACCAATGTTCTTATGTGAATACCGAAATAATTTATACATGTAGAAAATAAGTCAAAAGAATAAATGTAATAAATGCAATAATGGATTTTTTGAAGGCTGAGATACTTGCAAAATTGAAATAATATAATATTTTAATTCAAACAAGAAAAATTAAATGTCTTATTAAGGCTCAACTCAACCTGTGTAATCCTAAATCTCAATGTATTAAGTCTACATCTTATGAGAAAAAAAAATATGATTAAAATTTAAAAAAAGTTTAGTGGAATCTGTAAGAATCTTATAAATGAAATGATTATAACAGGAGTAATGAGATGTAGTCAAGAAATATGGTTTTTTTTTTTAGTTACATTTTACCAGGCATCTCCTGGACTGTATAGGATGTATTCCTTCCAGTATGCATTTACCAAAGTGTTTGTTGCTGTTGATCATTACAGCTCTGGTGTATAACAATTTTTTGAGAACATACTCTTGTATCAGTTACATTGTGATACTAGTCCATTCCAGAATGCCAAAACAGTTAAATTACTAATTACTAATGCGTATCGCTAACATACTACATACAAGAAAAGAATAAATAATATAATTTCAGATATTCTTAATGTTATGAAGAAAATACAGTAGGGTAAGGAATAAAGAGTAACTTCCTGTTGGGTTGTGGCAGAATAGGGAAAAGTATGTAAATTCAATACGGCACTTTCTGTGCTCTTTGTACTCAGAATGAATATGTGAAATGGAGCACCAGCATTTTCAAGTTTCTTTTATTTTTAGAAAATATTTCTGAGATTTACACTTAGTGAGCAATTTAGTTTCTCTCTCGCTCTTTACCTAACATAAAATATCCAGTTCATTTATGAACTTAAAGCATTTTAGCAGAAAGAAATACATTGGGATTTATGTATGTATGGAAATTCAAATATGTAAAAATTAACAAATACTTCACTCAATTATATAACAAATATTCACATTTTGTATAGTTATTAAGAATCAAATATTATCTTTAATTATGCTAATGTGGGTAAATTTTTGATACAGGAAGTTAACTTCTAAGTAAATTAGAAATTTTGAAAATCAAGATATTTATAATAATATAAATAATTTCATTCTTTTTATAGCTATGATGGTTATAGTTCAGTATTACCTCTGTATGTCAAATATCTTCTGGTGCAGAAACTAAATATTATCTCTAATTCTTAATGCAAATATGAAATATTAAGATTTGAATTTTATTTTAGATTTCAACTAATGATTTTTCATTTTACCTTGCTGTTGTTGTTACATCTGGTTCTTGAATGGGGATGATATAACCTCCTCTAAGATGTAATCCTATTTTGTCTGCTGGAAGATACATATCAACCCGTTGTTTCCTCCATGGCCTTTTTGCACCCTAATAATTGGAAGATTAAAAACATTCTTAATATTATTGAAGACTTTAAACTCTATTTCACAAGAATTAAAAGGCATTTTTATTATGAGCAATTCATGTCATCCAAATGAATACGAATATATTGTTTTCTAACTTTAGGAGAATTTTTTTTTTCAGTTTGCTGAACAAAGTAGAGGAAAAATAAGTTCACTTTCTCAAAAATAAAAAAATCAACAAAAAGAGACTCATTTTCTTTCTACAATAATTAACAGTACTTTAATTAGCTTTTTTATTCTTTGTTTTGGTTTAAAGTTTATGCCTTTAGGAAGGATTTTCTTAAAATCATTATTTCCGTAAAAATAAAGGGTATACTTAGCCAATATAAGTGATATGCAAAATAATATCATTTAAAATAAATATTGCAGGCCAGGCGCAGTGGCTCACCCCTGTAATTCCAGCACTTTGGGAGGCCATGGCGGGCGGATCACAAGGTCAGGAGATCGAGACTATCCTGGCCAACATGGTGAAACCCCATCTCTACTAAAAAAAAATTCAAAAAAAAAAAATAAATAAATATTGCTCAAAAGGTCTTGTTCAATTGAAAAAATGGATGGTGTATTTGAGTGCTGTTATTTTGCCTCTTCAAGGTTGAAATAAAAGCCTTTTTCAAATATTTGAATATACCATATAAAAACAAATATATAAGACTAGCTCAGTACTCAAGTCTTCTGGCAATAAGATAAATATGTAAAATAGGAAAAAGCATTAAAATAAGTTGCCACTCCTTCCTAAATTACTGCTAACCTTTTATTTCCAAAATTTAAAAATAAATAATATCTCTTTATGCTAAATAATATAACTTCATATTTGAGTCTAGCTCATGTGCAACAAAGGGTATACTTACACAAATTTTAACACATTTTTAAAGTCTGAAATTATTATTTTTTATAGTAATGACAGAAATTCTAAAAATATGTATGCTATGTAGTTAAGTTTCTATGGAATTAAGTTTCTATGTAGAAGTGTTTGAAAATATAATACTTGTGAGTCCATTAGTATGTTAAGGTTACTTACAGATTCATAATCATACCAAATAGCATCAGGGATGTAGGCACTCACAGTATCTGCTCCCTAAAATAAAGATAATATGTATTTTTTAATTTCAATTTTTAACAAGGAGGATCTTATCAAATATTAAGTTGGGTTTTCATAGTCAAGGGAAAAAAACTTTATGTTGTTACACTCCAATATTTCCTATAGATAATAATCAAAGGGCTATTTTATTAGCTTTAGATAATATCATATTGTAAAACTTAAAAAAGCAAAGAGGTAAATAAAAAAGTAATTTAGATAGCAATTAAAATAATGCATGCATATATGTGTATTGTTATAAAACACATGGTCATTGTGAATGTGAATATGTTTATTTCTGTATACCTCAATGGACACATGCACCTTTTAAAAATAGGTAATAATTACCAACCCACTCCAGTGTTTCTCCAACATTTTCATCTGATCAGCGAGTTTTCCAGTTCCTCTTTATTTACAATTGAGCAAAATTTCAATGTATATGTCTACTTAAATGAGAACTCTTTGTTATTATGAATTGATTTTGATTTGATAATACAGTTTTTTTTTTCAGGAGAAAAATAACTTCATACAATTTTCTTGTCCCCAGTTAGATATCACATATTTGGTAAGCAATCTACTTAATATTTTTATAACATTTTGAAATTTGTGTCACATCGTAGAATTCCAACTTGATGTTTATCAGCTTGAAACAGTCCACTGAGTAACATCTATTATTCAGATGTTTTGTAATGTAGGGTCGATTTAGTTATACAAAGTTCAAACAATAAGGTTATTAAACCTGTAGAGCCTACCTGTTTTAGAACAGGAGTAATAAGTAATGCAGGGCCCCACAAAAACTCAGTGTCCTCAATCCAGCTGTTCGTATCCTCATAAAACCTAAGAACAATGACAATGTTTAAAGTATAATAATGAAAAAATAAGTTTATCCAAATTCCTGGTTCAGTTTATCTTTTCAGTTTTTTCCTGGGAATTGTTGTTATCTTGAATTGTGCTTGTTTCAGATGACATTTTCAATTCATGGTTCTTACATCCTTTATTGTTCATCTGACACTCAGGAAGGAAGGGAGGAAGGGAAGAAGGAAGAAGGGGGGAGTAGAAGAGGGAGAAAGGAAAAGGAAGAAATGAAGGAAAGAAGGAGGGGAGGGAGGATAGGAGGAAGGGATGGGAACAGAGGGAAGGAAAGTAGAAAAGGGGTAGGGAAGGGAAGAAGGAAGGAAGAAAAGAGAGAAGGAGAAAGTTTATCTCATACTCAGAAAAATCTATCACAGATGACAAGGTTACTTTTTATTTATACAAAAATTCTTCTGT
Organism: Homo sapiens; assembly: GCF_000001405.40. NCBI lineage: Eukaryota > Metazoa > Chordata > Mammalia > Primates > Hominidae > Homo > Homo sapiens. Next base: position 165,040,404 of record NC_000003.12, read on the forward strand.
TAAATTATTTTCTCCTATAAGATAGGTTCATAAAGTATCGGAAATCTTTCATGTTCTACTTTCTTCACTTAACTTTTTTGTGGTAAGCTCTAGTTTTTACCTGAATTTAAAAGGATCTTTAAGTCATCACAGAAAGGCCCTGCTCTGGTCAAAGATACATGCAAAGATGAGCACAATTTCCCTTTTTTGTAAGTTTTATACTCTACTCTTGATCTATATTTAGTTTATACTTTCAATATTTAGTTGATGTATTTTTAAAAATTCTATGCTTAATCTCTTTACTGATATAATATCCTAACATATTTTATATATCTTTTCCTTGTAAGTTCTATTTAATTCTCTCATTTCTACCTAAATATTGTCCAATTAATTATATTTACTGGCATCATTATATAGCTCTTCAAATCATTTACACCAATGTAAAAACAAGCAGCAGAAGTTTAATTGATATCTTGATTTACCTCCATTAAACTTTTCTGTGTATGTTTGAACATACTTTAAAAGGTATTATTATAATTATTGTACGTAGTACTCACTCATGAAGAACTGGTCTTGCTACTGTTTCTCCAAACACATGGGCTTTATAAAACAGAGTGTAGAGGAAGGGTAATAAGGTGTAGCGAATAGTTAAATACTGCCTTGATGATTTAACCAAAAGTGAATTCTGCCCAAAAAATGCAGGATCCTGATGCTGTGAGATAGAAAGAGAAATTAAAATAAGAAAGCTAAAGTATGAGTGAAAATTAAAGTAGAAGCATTTTAATCTGCTTTTTAAAGCAACTACATAAATTTCAGCTTGTTTATGAGAAATTAAAATTATTCCTATTTCATCATCAAAGTGTCTGAATGAATATTTCTAGGTTTTGTTATATATTTTAATTAAACTTAATTTTGAAGTGGACATTTCAACATATTTAAAGCGTTGCCACAGAAAAAATAAATTTTTTTTTTACAAAATAGAATTTTTATCTTGTAAATCAATGTTTCATGCTTCCTTGTACCCACAGCCTTTATCATGGAATGTTGTAATCCCTACCAGTGAAGGTGGAGGGTGCCTACCCAAGCTTCGATGTGGCGCTCAGTCATGCAAACTACTCTGGCCAATAGGATGTTATTATATGTGACACACTAAAGCAGAGGCTTGAAATGGGCTTGCCTAAGGACTTACTGTCTTATCCCATTGCTATTAGAATTATCACAGATAGGTTGCTGGCTCAGGAACACAGTGAACAGAGCTACCTGGACAGCCTGTAGACTTACAATTTGTAGTGCAGCCTCTCTACTGAGCTCAGGGTAGATAAGTGACTCCTTCAGCCAAGTAACACTGATATGGACAAGCCTGTTTAGACCTCTTGCTTTGGATAACAATATTAACTGAAGACCTCAACTACTGTCTCCCTGAATCCACTATTAAGTTTGCACTGAAAACCATGTTTCCCAGTGCTGCTCCCAGCCTTGAATGAGCATAGTAAGAACACCATGCAGGCCTATTCTTGGGAGATGCAAGAAAGGTCAGTGGTCAACTTTCCCTGAAGGACTCCCCACTCACTTGATTGAAACTTGGTTAGAACTAGGCGCAATTCGGGATTCTGCCTACCAAACCACCTTCCTTCCCTTCATCTTCATCAAGTTCAGACCTGAACGGTGGTCTGCAGGCTCTCCTCATTTTCTCATGCCCACTCCCTTTGTCATTCACATTATTTCACCAATAAATTTCAAAATTTATTTCTGTCTTATCATCAGCATTTTGGAGAATACAAGTGAACGCAGAGTGTCATGTAATTTCTATCAAAATCTCCCATGGACACACATTTTCTGAAAGTATCATTTCGGTGTATTAGGAAGAAACTAATCTCCAATTTGTACCTTTTAATTTTTTTCCATCATGCCTCCTTCCAGGCTGAGCTCAGTAGTTGTCCCTCTTCTCAAACACAATATAAGCCCTGTATGCAACCAGTGTGTGAACACTGAACGGTTTCTTAACCAACAGATACTTAATTGACTTAATGGTTTAACTGAATTTTACTATTCTCTCCGAAAAACATGCCTATGATCATGAGCCCACAGTATGCTGAGTTCCCACGGCTGGTAGACTAGCTTTGTATTGTCTGGCACTTCTGCTCCTACCAGTCCAAAACCGTGTTTTAAAAGTGTTAGTTTTGTTTTTGTCTCTATGCCAGTTCTATTTATTATTGAAAGACGCTGGACTCTAATTGTTTTGTGACTATCTTTAAATTCTTGTTTTACATGAACTAAACACAAACTCAAAATCCATGACAGTATATTATAACTTTTCTTTGTATAAAAGTTACCTGGAAATTACATTGTTAGAATCCAAGAATTCATACTCTAAAAGCTTTGGCTCTACTTTAAAATACCGGTAACTTAATATACTTGTACAGTTATGCGTTAGTCTCAACTAAAATATTTGTGCTGTGAATACATTGCATTTCATGATTTCCTTATTTGACCGTTTTTTAAAAAATGTAAAAATATACAAAATATGTATAGGACTTGAGAGAGGGACTTCTAACAATGTCTTATGAATTATGCTACAATCTTTCAGACCATATACTCTATAGATTTAATTTAAGTACATTAATAAAAACTATGGTTGTTTTTTATTTCGCAACATGGAGAACAAGAGGCTCTTACTTCATATCCGTCAGAATTATGGTTTCTGGAAAATGGATAAAATGCCCCAAGTTGCATCCATCTTCTGCAAAGTTCTTCTGTGGTTTCAGCCACAAATCCACAGATGTCTGCTCCAACCTAAATAACAAATATATTTACTATTTATAATGTTAAGATTCTCAAATTTGCCTAGAGCATCACACTGTATGCCTCAACTGATGAATGTGCCTTATATACAATTTGTTTTACTCCTTTTATATATGCTTCCTTAAACCAATTTATTTTCCATTTTTGCTCTATCCTTGTCTCTAGTTGCATTATTTTATATGTTCTTTCCTTCATTGTCCCTTTATGCATTTTCTTATCCTTTTGTATTTACATTTTACTCATTTTTTATTTTGATGTTCTCATTAATTCATTGTAAAAGATGAAATTACTGTATTAAAATATGTTGGTTGCTTCTTAATCCCTAACTCAACTTCTTTGATTTGATTTTTCTTATTTATAATATAATATGTAACTGTAGGAATAAAATAACAAACTGTGACCATGTGTTCATGTTGAGCTTTGAAATTAATTATTCTGAATAAAATTGAGCTTTGCCCGATGTGTACCCATGTAAGACTGCATTATCCTTATTCAAGGACTCTCCAGAAAATACTATCTTGAATTTAGTGTTTACCATTTACAAACATTTCTTTATTTTTTCTGTGTAAGTATATATGTATCTATAAACAATATATAGCATTGTTTTGCATGTTTTCTTAACAGTATAAATGACATGTTGTATGCATTATAATGTAATTTCCTTTTTGTGTGAAATTCAATTATATTAATGTCACTCTAGTTCTCCAGTATATGGGAACTCATGACTATAAAAATTCTTCCGTGAAATTTATATATAGGCTGAGCATCCCTAATCCAAAAATCCAAAATCTGAAATACTTCAAAATCCAAAACATTTTGAGAGCCAACATAATGCCAGAAGTGGAAAGTTCCATACCTTACCTCAAGTGACAGGTTGCAGTCAAAACTGTTTCCTGAACAAAATTATATAAAATTACCTTCAAACTATGTGTATAAGGTGTATATGAAACATAAATTTGCTCATTTAAGTCATTTCATTACATATATGTAAATATTAAAATATCTGAAAATACCTGAAATCTGAAACTCTTCTGGTCCCACACATTTTGGATAGGGGTTACTCACCCTGTATAGATATCCTTGTGAATATGTAAAAAACATATTCTTATTCTATGGTGTACATACATAGGATTATTTTTCTGGTTTACTTATAATGTGCATTGTATAATCGGAACTGTTTGTAACCATTTGCAAGCACTATATAGCACACGAAGATTCCCCTTCTTCATTTTCTTGCCAATTCTTGATATTTTCAGACAAATTTTATCACCTTTCTTCATAAAATATATCTCACCACAGTTTTTACTTGCATTTCTCTGATTACAGGGAAATTGAGAAGTTTTTCATATTTTTATTGGGTCCCTATAGATTACTCTTTCTATAGAATTGCCTGTTTATATCTTTTACTTATTTTTCTATTGTTCTTAATTTTTACAGATTTAAGGTAGGCACTTCAAATTGAATATCATTTATAGACTATGTGAATTGAAAATAACATTTCCTGGTGAGTTGCTTTTAATTTTTAACTTTTCAAATGTTCTTTTGATGAACAGAAGTTTTCATTTTGTTGTAGTCAAATTTATGTATGTTTCTCTTAAGATTTATTCTCCTTGTATTCTGCTTAAGAAATTATTTCTCTAACCTGATGTCATAAATTTACCATTTTATATTTTCTTCTGAAATGGATAAAGTTTATTTTACACACATAGGTCCCTTAATCTATCTGGGACTGTTTATTGTGCATGGTGTGAGAAATTGACACATTTTATATTGTTTCCTAAATACTGAGTCAATAGTCCATATAAATAGTTGATACTTCCCTTCACTGCTGTCATTTAACAAATTATACATGCATGGGCCTGTGTCTTATTTTGCTGTGTTAATCTATTTGTATATCCACAGTCCAGTATCATTGTGTTAATAACTACAGCTTTATCTGGTTAGAACTAATCCTCATTCTTTTTCTCTACTTCTTTAAAATGTATTGTTTTCCATATGAAGTTTAGAGTCACCTTTTATGTTTCCCAAAATCCCTTTTATTGTTTAAATTGGAATTCCACAAAATTTTGATAACATTTTGTAGAGAATGCCTATTCCTAATATATTGAGCCTTCTTATTATTGAACAGGGTATATCTTTAATTTACTTAGCTATCACTTATATTTTCTCAAAAAGTCCTACATTTAGTTTTAATATTGACTGTTGGTTACAGTTTATTAATTGGTTGCTATAATAAGTGACACCTTATACTAAAATACATTTGAATATTGCTTGTTTTTCCTTCTTTTTTTAACAAATATGCTATAAATTGATCTATTTTATTAAAAGTTTTGAAGAGCCACCTTTGTATTTTAAAATTTTTCCTCTAGAGATTTTGTTTACATTGTATTAATTTTTTCTCTTATTTTAATTACTTACATCTTTCTTTAGGTTTATTGTTTCTCCTTTTCCACTTTTTAAATTCATGCACTTCACTCACTGTTCAGCGTTTCTTTCTTTTTAAGTATTTAAATCAGTAAGTTTTTCTTTAAATATTAACAGCTGAAATTTCCCAAGATTTAATAAGTAAAATTGTTAACAGTTAATTCTTAGGTTGTTTTTTTTTTTCAATTCTATTCAGTTTATCTTTTGACTCATGAATGAATTTGATAATATGTTTTTCAATTTTTTTTTTTTTTTTTTTTGAGATAGGGTCTCAAAAAAGTGAGTCCCAATCTTGGCTCTGTGCAACCTCCACCTCCCAGGTTCAAACGATTCTCCTGCCTCAGCTTCCCAAGTAGCTGGGACTACAGGTGCCTGCCATCATGCCCGTCTTTTGGTATTTTTGGTAGAGACAGGGTTTCACCATGTTGGCCAGGCTGGTCTCAAACTCCTGACCTCAAGTGATCCACCTACCTCGGCTTCTCAAATTGCTGGGATTACAGGAGTGAGCCACCTTGTCCAGCCTATTTTTCAATTTTCAAACACAAGATTGTGTGTGGGGGTGTTACTTTTATTGATCGGGTTTTTGGTGTTTGTTTTATTTGTGCATATGAAAGAAAACAAATCACTATAGTTTTATAATACCTTCTACATTATTTTTGTTATGTAGTGTCTCTCTTTAGTCTTGAATATCAATATTGGATGCTATGTTTTTGTTTGATAGAGTTAGACTTCTCAGATATTTCATGTCTACAATTCCTAGTACACATTTTCTCCACTTTTGAAATTTTAAACGTTTTTTTCTGTTCTTATGTTTTATATATATTGTAAACAAAAGATTATCTTTTAAAATCTAAACTGGTAATCTAATATTTTAAGTAGACTTAGACTTCTGACATTTATTTTTATAACCAATGTATTTGAACTTTTCTTCACCATCTTATTTTTTTCTTTACATCTTTCATATAAGCTTTTATATGCTGTTTATATTTATATTTGTTTTCCTCAATTATCTTGATTTCATTGAATTTTATTAGTTCTACATTCCCACTTTAATGGTTGGAAATTATAGATACCATCTGTATTCTTATTTTCCTCATAAACTCCATAAAAATAAAAAACTGAATTATTTCTGTAACATGCCTTTTGATCATTTTACTAAAATTAATTAAGATTACATTAAAAATTAATGTAATTGTAGCTTTTATGAGTAACACTCTATGAAACTGTCTTACCAAAGGTATTCCAAACAAACTGAACTCCAGCATTCCAGTTATAGACCATTCCATTTGTTCCCATGAAGCAGTATTGTCTCCTAACCAATGCGCAGCATGTCTTCCAGATCCAGCAAATGTTGAGCGGGTAAGAATGAAGCTTCTCTTATTAGGAAAAACTTTTTGTACAGCTCTAAAAATAAAACCAAATTAACAAATACAATTTATTTTAAAAAATAAAGTTGGTATTTAAATTCTAAAATTTCATAATTCCAAAGCCATGTGATATAGTTTGGCTGTGTCCCCACCCAAATCTCATCTTGAATTGTAACTTCCACAATTCCCAGATGTTGTGAGAGAAACCCGATGGGAGATGATTGAATTATGGGGGTGGGTCTTTCCTGCACTGTTCTTATGATAGTTAATGAGTCTCATGAGATCTGACGGTTTTAAAGAAATAGGAGTTTCCCTGAACAAGCTCTCTCTTTGCCTGCTGCCATCCACCTAAGATGTTACTTGCTTCTCCTTGTCTTCTGCCATGATTGTGAGGCCCCCCCAGCCATGTGGAACTGTAAATCCAATAAACCTCCTTCTTTAGTAAATTGCCCAGTCTCAGGTATGTCTTATCAGTGGCATGAAACTGGGCTAATACACCATGCCATAATATTTATAATAATTATGTCAAAATTTTATATCAATTTTGTATTTTGTTATTAATATTTACTTATTTAAATATATTCTGGTAAAATACAGTGAAAAGGAATTTTTAGAAATCACTAAATTTTGAATGACTCCAATCATCCTTTATCAAATTACATAAACATGGGCATTTGGTATCCACTCAACATTTGGTTTTGAAATATAATATTTAAAGTAATTGAATTCCCTTATAAATAGAAAATATTATACCTGAACTTGAACCTAATACATTTTTTGTAGTGTGATGACTCCAATTATATATTTATTTCGACATTTTCAAATATTAGCAGGCAAGGTTGGGATAAAACTTACATAATTAAGAAGATTTTTTTTTTATTTTCTAGAAGTTAACCACTGTCCACAACTACAAGCATCACTCACGTTACCTAACTATTATTGATAACATTTTCATAATTGGAAACAATTAGGAAATGTGTAACTACATTCTCAAGTGCTTTTCCATGTTATAATCTTTATTATATTGAAACATAGCCTGTTTTTTCTTTCCTAGGATATATTAACTTAAACACTGCTTCATGTAATACTCCATTGAGTTTACAAAGTAAATTGAAGTAACACCATGAATACAGTGGTTAAGAGTTCTGGTATCAGTATGATTTAAGACCATAAAAATACAAATTTGAATAAACACTCAATCACAACTGTTTAATTATGAGAAAATCGTAAGTATATTGAGAATAGTATTTGGTTTACTGACTATTGTATCACAGGACCATAAACAATGCTTGAAAATTAGTAGATAATGAACATATGATTGTTTTCTTCTTTTGTTTTGTATCATATTTTATAAAAATGTATTAGAAAATTAGTTAGAAGGATATTAATTAGAAAACTACATTTTAATTAAAATACTTCTTTTTGAAAAATAGTTAAAGACCTGTTCTTGGGGCAATATTTTCCCAGGCTAATTGTGAGATGCAAGCTTAAAACACAGTTATATTCAGAAATGGTAAAATTTTGAAGGATAATTTAAATCTAGGAGTTACAAAAAAGAGTCTTAGTTAAATATATATATACATATATATATGTATATATATATATATATAGAGAGAGAGAGAGAGAGAGAGAGTCATTCTTTTTTGTTTGTTTGTTTTTGGAGACTGAGTCTAGCTCTGTCACCCAGGCTGGAGTGCAGTGGCATGATCTCGGCTCACTGCAACCTCTGCCTCCTGGGTTCAAACTATTCTTCTGCCTCAGCCTCCGAAGTAACTGGGATTACAGGTGCCTGCCACCTCGCCCAGCTAGATTTGTACTTTTAATAGAGACTGGGTTTCGCCATGTTGGCCAGGCTGGTCTCAGACTCCTGACTTCAGGTGTTGTGCCTGCCTCGGCCTCCCAATGTGCTGGGGTTACATGTGTGAGCCACTGCACCCAGCCTACCATGTCATTCTTAATAAATGAGTCCCAAATTCATGAATATTAGTAAGAGAACTGATATTTTGAATGCCATAACTTTTTAGCAGGCATAAAATATTATCTTTCTTTTTTCAACTTTGCTATTTCCTAATTATGAATACATTGATAAATTATCAAAAACATTTTTAAGCAATAAATATGAAAGAAGTCTTTGAATGAAATTGCACTTACTGCTCTGTGGCTATAGCCATGCTGTATCCATAGAGGCTATGAACATCATACTGTTTACCCCAGTTCTGCACAGCATCCATGCAAATTGTTTTGGAATACATGAGTTTGTCAAGAATATCTTTGAGAAAATACATAAGAAACATTTCTTATATTTTTCCATTATAAAAGTTATATATTTTCCATCATAAATGTCATATTCCTTTTCATTTGTGTTATGAAATTCCATATTTGGTTAAAAACAATGACAAAGGACAATCCAATTAAACCTAAAATAAGTTCCAATTAGGTCCTCATCTTTCACTCTTGCTAAACTTGGATTAACTATTAGATTTATATTTACATTGGCAAATACTCTGTTTCCTAACTTCGATAACAAATAATTTAACTTTAAAAATAACCTTTAACAATATAGAAATATACCTATACCAAACTATATTGTACATCATATATTTATGGACCAATTTTAAAGCCTTATACTAGATTTGTCTATTTAAATATAATCCTAGGCAGAAAATATTTGTCTGAAGAAAAGATAAACAAATTGATTTTATGGTTTTAGAACTATACCAAAAATTGTAATTTAGAAATATATGTTAGAAATTACTAGTCAACTACAAAATTATTCTCAATTAAAACAGTAATTAGATAACCAAATAAATTTTACCAGGAGTAAACGGTGGATAATTCAATTTGTTTACATTACATCCTTTTGTTGAACCTTGAATAAAGCTGGAAACTTCATTCATGTCCTGAATGGATACAAAATGAAGAACAGCAGATTTTACATAATTATAAATCCTATTAGCAGAAACTCTCTAGTTGTTTGAAAATGTTTTATATAAGATAACCATAATGCTCGTTAATTCCTAGAAGATAAATATAAGCTACCAACCTAAAAATAAACAGAATGTCTATATCAGATAAGTATCTTAGATGGGATAGAGAGATTTTAAACAATCAAAATGTAGTTCATGTGTCTAGTTTTGATTATATATAATTACATTAATTATAAGTATTAAGTCATTTCTAAATAGCTGTTAGTCTTCTCATTATGAGTCCATTAATATACACATTCCTTGCATATTCATTGATTCAATATGTTTGGTTTCATTTAAACTTACCTAGTTTCTATGATGTGCTAAGCACATTGCTAGCAGCAAAATTTGCCTACCAACAGCTCCTATACACTCATAAAAGAATGAAAGCTGTAAAAAGGCAAATAGCCTTTAGTATTTTAATTAAAATAGTTATGGCTTCACAGAATCTCTGAAACATTCAGAGAACCCCAGGTGAGCATGATCACACTCTGAGAACCAAGACCTAAACATCTCTTGAAGAAATAGTGGTGGGATATTATGTTCATGGATTTTCTAGCCATTTTAACATAGGCCCCAATCTTGTCCCACTGCCTGCTAGCTATGTGACCATAACCCAGTTAAGTCTTTGCACTAAAAAAGATAAATTTTATAAAATCATATATCACAGTACATATACTCAAGAAATATGCATTTCATCTTTCTTCTCTGCAAACTGTGTTGAGGACTTCTATAAGCCTTATTTTTCTCATCTCTATAATAGTCTCCTTTCACATAAAGACATCACATTCAGTCACATCCTTGTCTGTGTTACTTTTATTTCTCTCAGAAAAAGTAGATTTTCTTAATTACATTTCCTTTTCCCCATCCACATCATGCCCATATTTTAAGACTCACTGCTTTTCAGCTTCTTGAATCCTTCCCCTCTTATTTCAGCTTTCAATCCTCCCTTTAACCTTAACACTCCTATATTAACTTTGCAATCATTAAACCTATCTTTCATACTACTTTCTGAGACTTCCCAGATAATATTTATTAACAGATTAGAAAATATCTGAGACCGATGGTGTCACTCAAAGACACTAATAAAATAATTTTTTAAACACATGTAATGGTGAATCATTTGTATTGTAGTCATTTGTTTCATAAAATTATAACTATAACTAGACATACTTATTTAGTTTGCAAAAGCTTCCATAAATATTGAGTTCCTCTGACCCAAGCACACTCAATATGATTATTCATCTCTATTATTCTCAAAATATTCTCATAAAAGTTTCTAACTATGGATATAAAAAGAAGCTAAGGAAATTTGATACATGGAATTGAAATGATAAATTAATGGTGCTCAAGGGAAAAAAGAATAGATTTGTTATCATGACACGTTTAATCGGTATATATTTCCACTTCCCAAATGTTTTCAGAGTAAGCAGAAATGAGAGAAATTAATATAGTTATTCCAAAGTACAAAAATATCTAAAGCTACATTGAGTTATTTTTTTGAAATTGTCTGGAATGTTATATTCAATTTTGTTTCCTGTGTCCAGTAGAAATTAATAATGGTATACCATAGTTACACAGCAAATAAGTGTAGGTAAACTACATTTTTCTTCATGATTCCGCCAATAACATTAAATTTTTAAAAAACTGCTGCTGAAATGTATAATTTGGGAATAGTGAGCTGCATTATTTTAAATTTTAAAAGAGTCTTTTTCTAAACAATTTTAACATCCGAATATATAATATAGTTGAGGAATTGCAAGGGTAAAACACTCATCTATGATATTAATATCATTTCTATTTGAGTTAAATATGTGTAAATTTGCCATAAATTTCACAAAATCTTTCATCAATGAAAGTAAACATTATTATGTAATTTAAGGATGAAAATTTTTTTTAGAAAATAATTAATTGGTTTTACTGAAAATAATTTTAAAAATATTTAAAAGTTTTATTGTATGACCATTTCAACATGATTGAATCAGAATGTGATTATTTTGCCAGCTCACAATAAAAGGGAAAATAGTTTTTTGAACCAAGAATATAAATTATTAACCTACTGAGGCAAAATTTTTTTTCATAATTTTAACCATATTTTACATAATACATGACATTTAATATTTTAGTAACCTTCCTTAAATATGTCTAAAGTATGTCTATATAGCAAGATTGTATTAAATTAAACTTACTACCCATATTTTAAAAGAATTTATCTATTGTAGTGTTTTTAAGTGGCATTTTGAAAATTATAAAAGCATTTTAATTCTCTAATTTATCCAAATGATTTAAGTGAAACTACAGTTATTTAATGTCATATACCACTGCATTAAATTAAGATTTTTAATATTACAACTAGTAGATTTGGAACATTGTAGTCATGAGGCAAAAGCCTCAGTGGACTGATAGTAATAAAAACATCTAAAGATATGTAGGTGTCATTCAAATCATCTTAAGTCTATTAAAAACTATTTTTTGAGGCCAAGGCGGGTGGATCATTTGAGTCCAGGAGTTCCAGACCAGCCTGGCCAACATGGCAAAACCCCGTCTCTACTAAAAATACAAAAATTAGCTGGGCGTGGTGAAGTGCACCTGTAATCCCAGCTCCTCGGGAGGCTGAGGCAGGGAGAATCTTTTGAACCTGGGTGGCGGAGGTTGCAGTGAGCCAAGTTAGCGCCACAGCACTACAGCCTGGGTGACAGAGCAAGACTTAGTCTCAAAAAACAAAAAAAAATCGTCAACTTTGTTTCTGAGAATGTACCTCAAGTTTCTTTAAAATTCCTTAAAAATTGTGATAGTGATCTGATGGCATTTTATACTCACATTTAAACTAAATCTAAATATATATAGCCCTATTTTTAAAAGAATTTGTAAAAGAATTTCATTTTTATAAGATTCACATGAAATGTAGAAAGAATATAACCAAATAAGCTTCTAGTTATTTGGATATGTAAACTTATTTGGGCATATCTTCTTATAAAATTTATGTTTCCAAATACTATATATTAAATTATTCAGTTTTTTCATTGAATAATTTTGCTTATTAGATTTTTAAGAATAGAACCAAAATAACAACAATGATATCAAAATATGCATATGTATTCAAAAAATGGAAATGGTATTTTAATTTTAAAAATATTGACTAACACTTTTGTTTTGAAATCATAGTTTTGGTCTTAATTACATTAAGTACAGTAGGCTTTTGTTTCTCAACTATTCGATTATCCCATAAATGATGTAAAAAAAGAGAATTCAAATTTATTATATTTTATACACAAAAACTATACTTCAATGACAATTAAGCTCACATCATTTCCCAAAGTGATTTTAATATTTAAACCTAAAATTCACAAATATTAGCATGGAAACTAAATTACAAATCTAGTAAATTATAAAACTATTTTTATACTTGACATAAATATTAAAACTTTATCAGTTGAATAACAACTTGTTTTAGCTGGATCAGAAACAATAATCTGAAGAAAGTGAAATAATTAGATAAACCACTTAGCAGTGTGATATGGCAAGTAGATAAGTAATAGCTAAAAGTAGAATATCCACTGTTTATCCATGATATATATTAGTTCACTGATGTTCACTGATCTTTGAAATTATACTGCTTCTTGTGTTTTTTGTTTGTTTGTTTAAGGCTTAGTTACAGTGCTTCTGTAGCAGTGTTGGAAATACTCTGCCTTTCTCAGATAACCTTCTCTCCCACACTTTGGAGGTGAATCAGGAATTTCAGTTCTCAATGAATGCAAGAAATGCAACACTCTCTCTTTCTATAACACAATCAGGCTCTGTCTCACTATTCCTACAGTATTATTTATACTTGTAACTTTACCGTAATCAAAGTGGCTCCTAACTAAGAAAAAAATAAAAGACTAAAGAAACTTTCAATATAGGTTAAATAATATAAGAACTAGAATTAAAAATAAAGCTCAAGATCACAGTAAATTTTTTTTATTTCTACCAATTGCTAGTTATTAGTGGTGTGATATCACTGATTTTATGTTAAATAACTGAAGGCTTTTCATCTTCATTTTGTTACTGTCATCATAGGAATCCTGAAGATTATGCTAATCCTTTACCCAAATCCATGTTGTCAGCAGAAACATAATCTTTCCATCTTTGTATTCCCAACAACATGTCTGATAGATACATGGTGCAAAATAAATATTTGCTAACTAAATGATTGATTGATTTAATAAATAAGTGAATAATTAGAATAATGATTGAATCAATAATGAGCACTTAAGGAAAATAGAGATGGTGTGGACCTAAAAACCAAAGAAAATATAGTCATCCTTAGTGTGTCCATTATGTACTTTTTCCAAATTCTTGCCAGTGGTAATTTAGTTTCTATCCCTAGCAGCAGGCCATCAATAACTACAGATACACAACTTCATTTAAAGAAACTCTTAAACACTTGTATTTTTTTTTCTTTTCTGAGACAGAGTTTCACTCTTGTTGCCCAGGCTAGAATGCAGTGGCACCATCTTGGCTCACAGGCAACCTCCACCTCCCGGGTTCAAGCAATTCTTCTGCCTCAGTTACAGGCATGTGCCACCAAGCCCAACTAATTTTTGTATTTTTAGTAGAGACGGGGTTTCACCATGTTGGTCGGGCTGGTCTCGAACTCCTGACCTCAAATGATTGGCTCACCTCAGCCTCCCAAAGTGCTGGGATTACATGCATGAGCCATCACACAAGACTGTATTTTTCTTTAATAAGTTTATGAGCAAACTAGGATTCTGTTTGTTGCTTTTTTGAGATATAGTAATACTTAACCTATTGCCAATTTTTATTTATTCTCTTCCATAGCTTACTAAAGAGAAGTCTCTAAAGGGCAGGGGCTTATTCAGATCATATTGCTGCTGTTGCTTGACTGTTGTCAACTTTAATAAATGTTTTGCTAATTGCACTGCAATAGGCTTATCACCAAATCTTATTAACTAATTTTCAGGTAAAGTATTAGTCATAAAGGAACAAAACCTTGCATACAGAAATAAAATTTATTCTATACAGTGTATTGCTAAAAAAGAAAAACCTTGATTGGCATTTTTTGTTTTGTTTTGTTTTCTTACTTATGCACACGATGGGTATATTTATCCATTCTGGGAAAAAACATTATAGTAGCTTTAAATTTTACATTGAATACATCAGAAAAAAATATTTTGTTGACTTAGTAATTTTTACAGATAAATAAGTCTATGGTCATTGACCAAAACCATTGGTTTAAAATAGCTACTTACAATCCAAAGTCCATCATATTGCACTTCTTGATGGAAAATACTGCATTCATTTGCCCACCAATCAATGCAGTTTGGGTTAGTGAAATCAGGGTATACTGTTAATCCTGGCCATACCTAGAAGAATAGATCATTCACATATATACATAAAAAATAGAAAAATAAATAAATGGAATTTCAAATTAATAAAGTTGAGAATAGTAAAAAAAAATAAAGTTATTCTACTTCTTTAGGTATATGTGACTCATATATAAATTTACAAGAATATCATGACTTTAAAATGCATTTAAAGAAGAGCAGTTAAAAAAAGGTGAAATCATGAAGCATTTAGGAAGAAAAAAATTATCAGAACATGGTATAAGGCTGCTATTTTGACTGTAAATTTGTTTTTAAGCATCCTTGTAGGATAGTTTAATACATACACAATAAATATTCTATATAATATATTTTATATCCCATAAAATAAAGCACATTAGCTTATTTCCAAAGGTGTATGCCTCCAAGCAATTTTAAAAACTGTCTTTTATGTTTATTTGTATGAATAAACATGAATATGATACATACTGGGCACTATTTCAAGTACTTTCATAATTACTAACATATAATCTTCATTAGAATTTTTGAAAGCAGGTACTATTTTTATCACCACTTACAGATGAGGTAGGTACTGTAATTAAAGTCATTTTGCAGATTAGAGAAGTGATGCCCAGAGAAGTTAAGTAAGTTGTTCAAAGTCAATCTACTAATAACAGGTACAGCAGCAATTTAAACCCAAACAGTCTTACACCTGAGTCCATGCTGTTAAACACTATGTGTATTATGCTGTCTTTTTCTGATTTAGGCTTCTTGAAATTATTTTACATTATTTGACTTATTACTTACAATAATCACATTAGGCAAGGAGAATTTAATTTCAGATAAGTTGAGCTAAATTATATTGTTTTGTATCCAAACATTTCAAATCGGCTGTCTGATCTGTCCATAAGGAACAAAGCTGGTGTTAACATGTGTTCTGTGAAATGTTAATTAAGGGTAGGAAATTGTGTGGGCTTTCTTTTTTTACAAAAGGAGTTCATAATTATTTAAAAGACTTTCACGGGAAACTTTAAGTTGGATGAATGTGATAAGAATGAAGCTTATGGCAGAGAGACAGAGCAAAATGGCTGAAAAGAAGCCTCCAGTGACCATCCCCCCCTGCAGAAGCATCAAATTGAACAACTACCCATACACAAAGAAAGTACCTTCCTAAGAACCAAATTCAGGTGAGTGATCACAGTACCTGATTTTAGCATCATATCAAGTGAAGAGTCATTGAAGAGGGTAGGAAAGAGAGTCTTGGATTGCATACACCACCCCTCTCACATTCCCCAACAGTGCCCATGGTGCATGGAGAGAGAATCTGTGCACTTTCTGAAGGGAGAGCAAAGTGATTGTGGTCTTTTGCATTGGAGCTCAGTATTGGCCTGCCACAGCAGAAAGTACAAAGGGGCAGAAATCAGCTTACACCCATAGGTGGAGCATTTAGAACAGCGCTAGCCATAGGCTATGAGTCTGCAAGAGCCATGGCATTATTGGGCTTGAGGTGCCTCCTAAAGCAGATACAGCTGCAGTTAACAAAGACTTAGATCACAAAACCCAAGTCCCTTAGAATACCCGGAAAACCTATGAATGAGGATGGGCAAAAACAAGCCTAGACTGTGAAGACTATTATAAATACCTAACTCTTCAGTGCCCAGACAGTGACAAACATCCACAAGAATCAAGACCATCCAGGAAAACCAGAATTCACAAAACGAACTAAATAAGTTACCAGAGACCAATCCTGGAAAGACAGAGATGTGTGAACTTTCAGACAGAAAATTCGAAATAGCTGTTTTGGGGAAATTCAGTGAAATCCAGGATAACGTGGAGGAGTTTAGGGTTCTATCAGATAAATTTAATGAAAAGATTGAAATAATTTAAAAGAATCAAGCAGAAACTTGAGCTGAAAACTGCAATGGATATACTGAAGAATGCATCAGAGTCTTTTAATAGTAGAATTGATCAAGCAGAAGAAAGAATTAGTGAGCTTGAAGACAAGCTATTTGAAAATACACAGTCAGAGGAGACAAAAAAAGAATAAAAAACAATGAAGCATGGCTACAAGATGTAGAAAATAGTCTCAAAAGTGCAAATCTGAGTTATTGGCCTTAAAGAGGAAGTAGAGAGAGAGAGATAGAAAGTATATTGAAAGGGAAAATGACAGGAAACATCCCAAACTTAGAGAAAGATATCAATATTGAAGTATAGGAAAGATATAGAACACCAAGCAGATTTAACCCAAAAGAGACTACCTCAAGACATTTAATAATTAAATTCCCAAAGGTCAAGGATAAAGAAAGAAGGCAAAAAGCAGCAGGATAAAGGAGACAAATAACATACAAAGGAGCTCCAATATATCTGGCACAGACTTTTCAGTGTAACTTTACAGGCCAGGAGAGAGTGGCATGACATATTTAAAATGCTGTAGAGAAAAAAAAAAAAAAAACTTTTATCTTAGTAGACTACATCCAGTGAAAATATCCTTCAAACATGGAAAAGAAATATAGCCTTTCTCAAGCAAAAGCTGAGGGATTTCATCAACACCAGACAAGTCCTATAAGATATGCTAAAGAGAATTCTTTGTACAGCATTGTACAGATCATCCAGACAGACAGAAAACCAACAAAGAAACATTGTCTTTAATCTTTATTATAAACTAAGTGGACCTGATAGATTTTTACAGAATATTGTATCCTATGGCTACAGACATTCTTTTTTTCAGCACATGAATTATTCTCAAGGGTAGACCATATGTCAGGCCAAAAAACAAGTCTTAAAATATTTTTTTTTAAAAAATTGAAATCATATCAACTATTTTCTTACACCACAATGGAATAAAATCAGAAATAAATAACAAGAATAACTTTGGAAGCTATATGAAAACATGAAAATTGAACAATATGCTCCTGAATGACCACTGGGTCAATGAATAAATTTAGGAAAAAATTTACAAATGTTTTTAAAACAAATGATAATGGAAACACAATGTACCAAAGTCTATGGGATAAAATGAAAGAAGTGCTAAGGGGAAAAATTATAGCAGTAAGTACCTACATCAAAAAAGTTGAAAAACTTTAAATAAACAACCTAATCATATGTCTTAAAGAACTAGAAAAGCAAGAGCAAACCAAACCCTAAATTAGTAGAAGGAAAGAAAAAATGATCAGAGAAGAAATACATGAAATTGAAAAACAAACAGTACAAAACAGCAACGAAATGAAAAGTTTTTTGAAAATATAAACAAAGTCAACTAACCTTTAGCTAGACTAAGAAAAAAAGCAAGGCCCAAATAAACAAAATCAGTGATTGAAAAGGAGACATGACAACAGATAACACAGAAATGTAAATAATTTTTAGAGGCTACTATGAGCAGCTATATGCCAATAAATTGGAATACCTAGAAGAAATGCATAAATTCTTAAACACATACAATCTACTAAGATTAAACCATGAAGAAATTTATCTGGTATATCTTTACATTTTTCATGACTTCTTATAAGAACTGTTTTATAAATTCTTGGAGTAGTTTCTTTGTCTAATATTTTTCTCCACAATTAAAATATAAAATTCAGACTTGAAAGCAGACATACACACACACACACACACACACACACACGCACATCCACAGAAACTTTATTATTTCAGAGAAGAAAATTTGAGCAACATAGTTTTAATAAATATCATATTTTACCTCTCCAATAATTGGTGTACTTCCATCTGACTCATTTATCCACACATGTTGTGTGTTTCCCCTCTCATAGGTTGCATATGTTGTTCCATTGGCACGTCGACCTATGGAAATTGCAGGGTCCTAATAATAGAAAGCAGAAACTGCAAAATCTATTAACTTACACGTGTAAACACTAAAAATGTATTAAGGTATAATTGATTATTACCAAGATGATGACATATTTCTGTCCATGGTCATGCAAATCTTGCACAAATTGAGGGAGTCCGTTAAACGCAACTTGATCATAAGTAAAGTCTTTCTTGTCTTCCATGTAGTCAATATCAGTGACCTGTGTATCCTGAAAGTTAGAAGATTGTATTTCAATACATAGTACTGAAAGAGCTCTCTAATCAAGTCAATCTTTAACTCCATTGAACGTGTATTATAAACATAACCCTTAAAAAATAAATGAACGTCCATCCTTTTCATTTCACTAAAGAAGCAATTGTACTGTTTGTAAACTGGTTTTTCTAATTATTAAGTACAAAAGCATTAAGTGATTATTCATATTTGTCAGTGATAATGACTAGAATGCATTGTTTTTATATACGTGGATTTCAACATACAAAAATCAAAAATACACTTTTCAGAAAATTTTTTAAAAATATGTAGATTCTAAAATTAAGGTCTATTTTAAAAACTAAATATGATTTTGTTTACAGTGGAATATGTATTCTGTTCTAGTATAACTAACAATTGATTCTTCAAAAGCATATATTTGTACTTTCAGGAGGCAAGGGCATTACATATGAGATAAAATATACTTTACAATTAAAAGGCAGCCTCTTAATTATATGATATAATGTATATAGTAGATACTCCTGACAATTTCCTACAGTTCTTATTATGTGACAATATTTAACTTGATATATATTCCCACGGACCCTTTATTCTACTTACAAATGGTATGCCAGCTTCCCGGTTTCTCCTTACCACTTCTTTCACTACATCTAGTGACTTATAATTCCAGCGACTTAGTTGGAATCCAAGATTCCAATATGCTGGCATTGCTGGTAGTCCAACAAGCTTAAAGTAAATGAGCATGTAATTAGTTTGAATAGAAATAAATATATTTAGCATTAATAACCAAGGTTAATGTGCCTCTTATTTTCTTATATCTCTAAAATTCATTTAAGTTTATATAATTTAAACAAACCTTTAGTGTTACCTGGATTCTAAACAATTTCCTATTCTATTTGAATGTGTTATGAAATTTTTAACAAGTTCATGTCTTGTACTTCACGTTTTAGTTTGTGTTTAAAAATTAGAAAGTGTAGCATATCAGAAAGTAGCTTTTGCCAAGATATGTTTTGTCTATTGTAGAAAGTTAAATAAGATAATACAAGAAAAGCAACAAATAAATAACAAAAGGGAAAATTTTCCACCACACTCCTATTTTCTATTACAAGTCACCATACAAGAAAAACAGAAAAGATGTTTAAAAGTACAGAATTTCTGTTTCCTTACATTTTGGCAGTTATCTATCTCCTGGTTTGCAAAAATGTTAATAAAATATATGTTCTGCAATGCTCCCACCCAGTTATTGCATAGGCTCTTTCTTATTCACATGCAGTGCCTCAGCTTCATTTCTTCCTCCTGGGGACAAATGGATCGCCATCTCTTCCTATTTCTGTAATGGCCCAGGCAATCTCAGTGCAAGAGAATATCAGTGTCACATTACAACAGATGATATAATTTTGCACATGGAAATTTGGATGTAACTGGTGTTTTTTTTTTCACCAGTTAGGTTATATATGATGCATAATCATACTCAACATAATAAATTTTCTTTGGTTTAGGCTTTTATATACATATCATATATATATTATATATATACATATATATCTGGTATATATATTAAAAAAAAATATATATATATATAGGATCCATGATTTCTCCATGATACATATGTAAAAAGTTACTAGGTAACAATCAAAAAGAAATTAATTACTCATGTTGGGTTATTGTTTTCTATTCAAATGAAATACTAAACTTATTTCAAACTTGATATCAAATAAACCTGATATCAAATAAAGCTCTCAAGAATTAGTATGTTTTAAACTATACTCCTAAACACCATATGTTCCATAGAATTAAAGATTTAGACATGTGATTGAAATTTCTTCTCATATATGTGTGAAGAATCAACATATATGTTGACATAAATTTTTTCTCATATATATGTGAAGAATCAACATATATGTAACAATATTCTTTTTGAAATAGTTTGACATTCTGCTGACTTTACTTAACATGTGGGAGATAGCTATGCCAACTTATGTTTGACAATTGGAATATCAGAGTGTTGTTTCTCTCTCTTGTTCATGTGATAATCACACACAAAGTCTATATGTAGGCCAGCCTAGAACTGTAATTATGATTTTATATTACAGATACTGTAAACTTTCTGCGCTTCTTTTCTAAATTTTACATTTATAAACATGAACTTGGGAATGATTAGACATTGTAAATGATTAAACTGCAAAAAACCTTAGCTGCTCTCATTTCAGCTTTTTGGATCCTAATTTAAAATTTTTTATAGTAATCAATTATCTTTTGAGATCATTTTTGCAAATGGGAATTTTATGTCAAAAGGTATATCAAGAAAATAATATTTTTAAAATAGGCATAATCTTAAAATCTTAAACCAATGAAAATAATTTTCTTTTCCATTGTAACACCAGGAATCATATATATCAACAGTGAAAAGAGAGAAATTACATGAAAGTTTTAGAATCATCTTCAGTGTAGGTCCTGGGTTCCCCACCTCTCTAAAGCCCATATTGGGCTCAGGTATACAAGATGTTACTTAATATGTAAATAAGAGTTGCTTAGATAGTAACTGGAGATGTAAAGTTTCAGGCTAGGTTTCAAACTCAACCTTCTGAAGTCCCCAGGATAAGAGCCAATTTTCCTGGAGTTTACCTGCTGTGAATTTATGGCTAGATTCATTGGTCTTCTCACAACTCAGTTACCTCTAGGATTTTGACCAAAAGGATATATGACCTACACATTTATTGCCTATCCTCAGTGTTAAATAAGATAGTTCCTTTTGCTTTATTCCATCAGATAAAGTCATTAATAAGTAAATATATAATATTCAACATCTCAATGAATTCCAATTCTTGAACTCAGCTGCCTAGAGGTAAGAAATTTTGAATTCAGAAACATAGATACTTGAGTATATGTAGAGTTCATTGTATAGGGGAAAAAAAAAACACCCAGCTGCATCTTAAATATGATAAGATTTTCGAAAACATTTAGCTAAGAGGCCCCTACTATGTAAAATAAAGTCATCTAAATATGTGGTCATGTTAGATGAAATAAAAGTATGCAGAAAAAATTTTATAAAATAGACCTGAAACACACCTGTTGATACTGTTGAACTACTTGTTCTGGTGTATCTCCTAGAAGGATGTAAAAATCCAGAATGCCACCGGTAACTCTATATGTTACTATTGGAGTAGGCTGGATAAAAATCTCTGCAAAATAAAATTGGTAAACTTATATGTAAATAGTGAAAAGGATTATAGTAATTAATTGCAAAGTCCATTTAAATTAATTTGTATTAACTACATTATTTTACAATATGTTTAAATAATTAAGAAATAATGAAATATTGAATGCAGGAATAACATAGGAAAAAAGTAAAACGCCAACATGTCTGAGGCTTATAATAAAATATCCCAGCTATTTTCTTTCACAGGTGGTGGCAAAAGCTCCCCTGGATATTGTGTTGCAAAGGGTTAGTTGCAAAGGATTAGTTCTCTGGCGACCAAAAGATTTTTCTCTAAAACTGCATTTTTAATTAGTCGTTTAAATTGAAGATTATCTGAAAGATCAAGTTATCACATATTAATTTCTAAAAGACAAAATGTCAAAAGTTTTAATTTAACTTTTCTAAATGTAAGACACAGTAACTGGCTGGAAAACCATGTAATAAACTGATCCTGCTGAAATGTGATTAATTTCTTTAATTTTTTATTATCACCAATTCACCTATTAGATACTACACTCATAATATTACAAAATAAAATACTACATTATATGAGTTATGATAAACTAAAAAAAATACTCTTTTTTCTACTTCCATAGACATCTTTTTTGTTTTCATTTGTAGTGGCATGTTTACTTATCTCGACAAATGAGATTGTGGGAATGAAAACACCCATTGGCATGGATGTGTTTCAACATTCCTTTGAAAGGAAAATAGAGTGCCTGAATACCACAGCATAGCATACTCTCCCCAAAATAGATGCGCTGGCATGCAAAAATTGATTTTGTCTTTAATTTCAAAATCTTCTTATAATAATGTCACATGTTAATATTAACTATAATAGAGTTTACTCTCACATACAATATGAATGATTGAAATAAAGAGAGCAGTTAAAACATTTCAAGTGAAATCTATAAATATATTATCAAATGAATTATTCTTACCCATTGCATTGCTATTCATTAAAAAAACACCGAATGACTTTCCAGATGTATCTTCAATACACATAAAGAATGTTTGATGGCCGTATAAATTATTATTATTCTATAAGGCAAGAATTTGAAAATACGATTTTCAAATATGTTTAAAACACAAAAAGATTATATATTTTATATGCTCTTCATGAATTAATTTGTTGCTATAATTTACTTCTCCTGTTTCTACACAAATTGTCTTCACTATATGTACCAGTGAAATATTATAGGTAAAACAAAAAACTTCAAACTTTTTAACATTATTAATATAGTAATGTATAAAATATATAACATATATAATACTATTAATATATTACTTAACTGTCCTATTTCATTTTAATTACATTAATTTTAATAACTTATGCCCAGGTGGGTGGATCACGAGATAGGAGATTGAAACCATCCTGGCTAACATGATGAAACCCTGTTTCTACTAAAAATACAAAAAATTAGCTGGGGGTGGTGACACGCACCTGTAATCCCAGCTACTCAGGAGGCTCAGGCAGGAGAATCGCTTGAACCCAAGAGGCGGAGGTCGCAGTGATTTGAGATACCCTCACTGCACTCCAGCCTAGGTGACAAAGTGAGACTCCATCTCAAAAATAAATAAATAAAATAAAAAATAAAAATAAATAAAATAATAACTTAGTCATGATAAGGTAATGGCATGTTTATCAGTTAGGCCCATGTATGCCCAAGGTACTGCAGGAGCTTCCAAAATGATATGTACCTTAATAAAAATTTAGTAGTCTGTTTCTTGAGAGCTGATGAAGAGCTGACATGATAGAGACAAACTGGAAATACACTGATATGATGAAAGGAAAAAGACTTCCTGACTAATTAGATATGGATTTTTAAAGGAAAGGATGTATGGAAATTAGCTCTGACAGTCTCACTCTGGTGTCGATTATAGATAGTGATGCTGCAAACAGAGATTAGTAAAATTTATTAATAATTCTGTACCAAATGAAACTCTTTAAAACAACTACTCACTGGTTTATCTTTGATATAGAAATAGTTAGCATTGCCATTTAAAAAGAAGTAACTGACAAACGTTTGACCCAAATCCATCATGAATCAAACATATTTTTTTAAAGTTATGATGTTTGGTCTCAAAAATCTCACATTTTTTGAGCAACAAACATAAAAACAAACATATACAGGAATAATACACTAATAGGATTATTATACTAAGTCAAGTATAAAGATAAAGACTAAGCCCTTATGGGAGAGTTTGGGAGAAGTTCTTATGAGATAAAATTTTCATTGAGTGCTGAATGATATATGAGTGATAAAGAACATTAAGTTTCAGTAGTTACCAAAAAAACAAACTGTGCAAAGATTTGAAGTTACGGAAAATGACTATATATTATAGAACAGTAAGAAGGACAGAGATGCGTGAGATAATATCTGGTAGCTAGGCAGACATTGTATTATATGAAGACATGTAAAACAGTGTTTGGAATTATTCTAGTGCAATAGCTAGCTATTGATGGATATAAGTACAAGGTGAGTGAAAAAGGAATAATAAAATACGATCATGAAAGTCAAAATAAAACATTTTTAAACTGGAAATCCTGTGAAAACCTTTACAAAATCTGTTGGTCACTGAGTCAATTTAGAACCTATCAATTGTCCCTCCCAAGCTAAACAAGCTTCTATATTGGTATCAGTGACATTCAAATAGTTTAGTTGATCAGTTAAAATAAATGCTGTTTTCAAATATGCTAAGATTTTCATCTGCTGCAATATAGTGATTTTATTTATAACAAGAAAAATAATTTCTTACATCACCAGGAAGTTGGTCTCGAGTAAAAATTGGCCATGTTTTCCAGGATAAATCATGACGAAATCTCTTATGAACTTGTTCTCCAATACCATAAATATAATCACTTGGAAGACGGGTTGAGATCTGTAAGTACTGGTCAGAGTACACTAAGGGACCAATGCTGGTGTCAAACCTGCACCATAAAAGAAATAAAGAAATAATCTAATATATATATATATATATATATATATATATGATATTCTACCAGATACAGGTTTATGTTAACATCATCCAGAAGATTTCATTATAAACATGCCAGTGGTTAGCTTTGGTCACTTCTTAGAAACACACAAATTACCCCATAAAAGAAATTTGTTCACTGCATCAACACAATTTTTGCCAATATCTTTCACATCCATTTCTTTACTTTTCATCACAAGTTCAAAGCATAACTACCATTATCAATCACATTTCAAAGATGACACAAACTGGGATAATTAATTGATGTTTTTAGGGATCACAAACTGGTAGGCAGGAGAGCCAAGTTTCAAACCCAATTCTGCTTGCTCTAGGTACTAGATTTTAAAATACAGTATTTTACTGGCTTCCACACTTAAAAATTAAGTTTGAAAGCATTTTTCCCCCAAAAAGTTTTATGTGTTATGCAGATGAAATATGTACTACCAGAAATGCTAAATGATGTTTATGATTTGTATGCTTTTATTTTTATTGACAATTAGTCATTGCATATACAGTCAGCCCTCCATATCTGTGAGTTCTGAATTCATGGATTCAACCAACCAGGGATGGAAACTATTTAAGGGGAAAGAAAAGAATGGTGCATCTATACTGAACATATACAGACTTATTTTTCTTGTCATTCTTCACTAAACAATATAGTATAAAAACTCTTTACATATAATTTACATTGTATTCATTATTATAAGTAATCTAGAAATGATTTAAGTATACAAGAAGATGTGCATAGTTTATATGCAAATATTATACAATTTTATATAAGGAACTTGAGCATCCATGGATTTTGGTATACTCAGTGGGGGAGTGGGGATTATCCTGAAAGCAGTCTCCCATGGATACTGAGGGAGGTCTGTATTAATGGGATACAATATGATGTTTTGATGTACATTATTTGATGATAAAACTAATTAACATATCCACCACACCACATACTTTTTACCGCACATTTAGAATTTATAGTAGTCTCTTAGTACTTTTGCAATATATATTAAATTATTATTTTATTATTAACTATAGTCATCATGTTGATTGGTCTCAAAAACATGTTGTTTCTGTCTAATCCTTTGACCAACATCTCCCCCATTCTCCTCCACTCCCAGCCTCTGGAAACCATAATCCTACTTTCTGCTTCTATGAACTCAACATGTTTTAGATTCAACATATAAGGGAGATCATACAGTATTTGCCTTTTTGTGCCTGGCTTATTTCACATGGCATTTAATATTTTTATGATTTAACACAAAGTCATAAACAAAAGTACTAAGATACATTTAATAAGAGTAATTGCTGAGATTTAATCTTGACAATTGCTTTATTAACAATTCTTAGGGATACAAGAGCATTTATCTTGAAACCATTCCTAGGAAATTACCAAATCTCTTGCACCTACACCCCTCATACAATCATAATGAAGGTGTTCATTCTATATTGGATTCTACATATATATAAATTATTTTAATATTAATATGGGAAATAACTCCTCTTTGGTCTTTGAATAGTAACTGTCTGATTCTACAAATTGGCAACAAAATACGATAAATATAAGGGGGAAAGACACAAGAGCTATTCTAGGTATGTACAAATATATGCAAGGCTAGGGTTGCATTAGTGAAGCTCTCCACCTTCATCTTTGTTCAACCTTTATTTGTAGATTCTAATTTATGTTCCAGTATCTTTCATCCACAAGAAACCAAACTCCTTTATCACCGTAATTTTTATAAACCTATCCACCTACCCTCTTTTGGGAGGAAATTTATTTCTACTGAAAATGTCTTGAAATTAAGACTTTCCAATTCTATAATAATAGAATAAACTTATATAATTGTAAAATAATACACTTACAAAGTTTTACCGTTGCTTTTCCTAATAACTTGGATGCTAAATGGGTTTTGGGCAACCTTCACATCATACAACGTATCAGAAACTGTGGGTCCAGTAAACTCTTTTACATACTGATGAGGAACTTCATATCTTCTATTATTTGGATCAGTAATCTGGAAAGATTTAAGCAAGGTAGCATTACTGGATTCTAAACTATTATTTAATATTCCAGTTCTGAATTATTAAATGCAAGTTCCAAATAAAAAATAACGTGGTGATTAGTTTCATAGAAGAGTATTAATTCAGAACCTTAATTTTAATATTTTTGAATGGCTATGCACAGAAAAAGTGTATAAATTTTAAAGAAATACATAGAATTAGTTGGTTATGAAGTATTATGTATAAAATTAAGTACAGATTTTTATTGACTGATATAAAAATGACAGTATTACCAAATATTGATTACAGAATATTAGACCTTTGTGAATTTAATCAATCTCAATGCTTTTCAGTGTTTGGGTCCTTATATAACTATATAAAGATAAGAATCTTACCCATAAAGATAAGAAATTTTGTTTAAAAAAATTATAGAAACTAAAAAGAAGCACTGAAATAAAGCAGAATCACTGAGAAAAAGAAAAATTTAGTTCCAGTGAAATTATTGCTAAAAAGGTGATATACAAAGAATTTGGTGCTGTTTTTACTTCCAAATCCAAAATATTTATACTAGTAAACTACGTGCTAAAAAAAAGAATCATAGTTTTTAAAATCATGAATAAAATTTATAATCAGTGAAAGTATTATGTTGCATGTATACGACACTAACACTTTTCTGAAATTAAATTTTAGATTAATCTTCTGCATAGCCTGTAGTTTAAATAATAAAAATTTTCAAATGTTTCTTGAGAATGTTTATTTTCTTCAAGGCATTAAGCTAAATATTTTACATGAACGATATTATTTAAAGCCTCCAAAAATAAGTGCAGAGCACACTATTATTATTCGTATGTTATATTTGCATAAACAATTTGAGAGAAGTGCAGTTTAATTAATTCTTTGCCTTGGAATAAATATTTCTCAAGAGAGAAAATGTATTTGTAGGATGAAAGGTGTGTTCATCAAATGTCTCACTGAAAGCCCCAACTCCCGGGTTCTCGCCATTCTCCTGCCTCAGCCTCCCGAGTAGCTGGGATTACAGGCGCCCGCCACCACGCCTGGCTAATTTTTCGTATTTTTAATAGAGACGGGGTTTCACCCTGTTAGCCAGGATGGTCTCCATCTCCTGACCTTGTGATCCGCCCACGTCAGCTTCCCAAAGTGCTGGTATTACAGGCGTGAGCCACCGCGCCCAGCCCATCAAATGTCTTTTAGTATTAAATCTTTGGAAACCTTAAAAACCGAACCTTGAACCGGAAACGATTGGGTGTCTGATTTTGAGTTGTGAAGAGAACACTGTTGATGTCATTTCCAAATAGTGTAGGTGAAGGTATCCTGTTTAATTTGGCTTCAACTCCTTAAAGAATAAAAAAAAGCTGCCATGAGTGACTTGATTTATAATGTTAACAATTATTAAATATATTTATGTTATTGTATTTACCACAAATGAGTACTTTTTAAATTTGTTACAATCATGCAAAAATAAGGAATTTGAACATTCTCAGGAACATATTTCTTATTTGATTCTATTTAAGGTATTTTCCACATTTTCGCTCCAGTTAGAATATATCATATTGAATCATTATAACAGAGGACTTCTTACCAATACTTGTTGTTGTCATGTCTTGAACGTTATAACCATGATTATCAACGAAGAAGCACCAAGGAATAAGAGAGTCATTCCACGGCCTCCAGCAGCAGCCTCTCTGTGCACAAATTCCCTGATAAAATATTTT